>NC_000007.14:148852319-149003834 GCF_000001405.40 Homo sapiens | reverse complement strand
AACATGCCACAAAACTGAGCAGGACCAAGGAAGAGCTTTGAAGGCCTGAGGTCTGCGGAAGGTGGGAGGAGGCAGACGCCCTGCGTGGCCCATGGTCGGGGCGTCCACGCCGAGGCCGGCAACAAACGACAGTATCTCGGATTCCTTTTTTTTTTTTTTTAATTTTTTATACTTTGGTGTTTCACTTCATGCTCTGAATACTGAATAACCATGAATGACTGAATAGTTTAGTCCAGATTTTTACAGAGGATACATCTATTTTTATCATTATTTGGGGTTTGAAAAATTTTTTTTTACACCTTCTAATTTCTTTATTTCTCAAAGCAGATAATTCTTCTGTGTGAAAATGTTTTCTTTTTTTAATTTAAGGTTTAAAATTCCTTTTCCAAATCATGTTGATTTTGCTCTTTGCTTTTTCGTTGTCTGAGAAATTGTTGGCGTAGATTTGGCTTCTGGTATGTGTTTCTGATTGCTTCCTGTTGAGCACAAAGTGAGAGCTGCCACTGAGCAGCCCTGCCAGGGGTGCTGTTTCAGGCTGGGCATCGCCAGGCGGCCTCCCTGCAAACCAAGGGCTGGGGGCAAAGGGGCATGATCCAGGGTCCCCCAGGGTGGGCTCAGCTCCAGGGAGAGGCCACCCACGTGGCAGCCCCACCTCTTGAGAGCCCCCAGTGCCGGAGCAGAAAGGACCCTGGACCCAGAGGCAGATACTGCGGGGTGGTAGAAAAGGTAGAGTAGGCTGTGGCAATGGAATAAAACACGATTAAAAACGTTAAGAACTGCGTTAGAAAACATCTGATCTGTGCTGCTGGGAGCCTCGGGGTGGGGCAGGAGCTGGATGTAGCTAAGCCCTGCAGAGGCCTGGCAGTAGCCCCCACCTCCTTCCAGACACAGGTGGGTGGAGATCATCCTGACCTAGGCTGAGGAGCTTCAGAGGTCTCCCCTCAGCGCTTCTCCTGGGGTGGCGGCTCCGCTGGACCGGCGCTTGTGTAGAGGTGGTTCTGTGCCATAAGGGTTCCAGGGCATTTGAGTAAGACCTGGGCTTCATTTCATCACAGGCTTGTTCGAGATGAGCCATCACCGTCCTCACCCCGCGCCTCCCCCGTCACTCAGCTGCTCCCAATTGTGGCTGAAGAGTGGCAAGGGTGAAACCTTGCGCTGACGGCAGCTCCTGCAGCAGTGACACGTGTGTGTTGGGGGTGGTGGGGGCAGGAGGCATTGGGTCTCCCAGGAAGGGGCAGCCTTGGTGGACTTACCCAATTATCCGCTGTAAAGTTAAGCCTGGCCAGGGCAGGCTGGGAGATGATCCGCTGTAGAGTTAAGCCTGGCCAGGGCAGGCTGGGAGTTGTGGGTGGGCCGTGCTCTGTAAGTTCCCTGTGTGATGAGAAGTCTCTGCACCCACCCCCATCCCCACCCCCAACCATCGTGCCCTCCCTCACATCAGGAGAGCAGGTGGCCCTCAGTCCTGGGATGGGCCCTTTCTTCAAGGCCCTTCCCCTCAACACTGGCGAAAAGCTTGGAGTTGTGACCTGGGGTAGGGCAGCGGTTAAGGCTGTTTCCGGAAGCAGAAGTCCATTCGTTCAGCGCTCTACCATGAGAACAAAGTGATTCCTGTCCTGGTAGGGCTCCCATGGGTTCAAAGGGCCCTGAGGAAGACAGCCCCTCTCTGGGGAGGAGCAGCAGTGTGACCTCACTTCGTGTAGGTGTCAGGGAAGCCCTGCTCTGAAGTGACATCTAAGCCAAGACCCTCGGGAGAAGTTGGCTTGAGCTGATGGCAAAAAAGGAGTGTCCAGGGACCTGCAGCTTTGGTATCACTGGGATGTCTGTCAGAACTGTAGAGTCTCAGGCTGGGCCCCGGTCCTACTGAATTATTCTGCGTATAAGAAGATCCCAGGAGGGTCACAGGCATATTGAAGTCTGGGAAATACCAGGAGTAAATGTTCCAGGCTTGGGGCCAGCATGTGCAAAGGCCCTGAGGCAAAAATCAAAATGTTTCCTCTTTGGAAATAGTCTGGAAGTCGGGTAGCCCAAGAGTGTCTTAACTGAGTCAGCTCCCTCTACATTGCCTGCAAAAGGCGGGACCACTGAAGGAATTTACCCTGGACCTGTGAGGGACCTCAGAAAGGAGACGGGCAAGTAGGTTGATGACAGCCCAGCGTGATCGGTGCCACGATGAAGGTATGTACGGGGCCATGGGAACCCAAGAGGGGACTGTCCCAGCTGCAGGCCTGGAGAGGCCGACTCAGGAGCTGGGAGGAGGAGGAGGAGGAAGCAAACTTCCCTCCTTCCCCTTCACCAGCCACGGAGCACTGTGCAAGGAGGCTGGGTTGCTGAGGGTAGGAGAGGCAGGGCCAGGTTGGGGGGCCTGCATTCAGGAGCTTGACCTTTATGTTAGTTTGCAGGGAACCATTGATGGTTTCCAGCAGGGAGGTGATGTGATGAGATTGAGATTGATGACGAGTAACAGTTAACATTTATCTCGCCTTAAGCAAAAGCCAGAACCCATGTTGAGCATTGCCAGATTGTCTCATTAAGTGACCTGTGAGGTAGGTTCTTGCGTTCATTTTACAGCTAGAAAGGAGGGGGATGTGGGGCTGAGTAGCAAACAGAGTGGGGATGTGAGCGCAGGCCACTCTCAATGCTGTGGCACCTCCCTCAGGAGCAAGGGAGCGAGGGTGGGCTGCATTGTGGGTGGCCAGTGGGTCTCAGGGATAAGGGGGCAGGATCTCCAGGGCTCTGAGACTGATCAGATGCTGAGGGTGGGTGAGTGGACCCAAGAAGACGGATAAGATGCCCAGGTTTCTGAATGAAGGGTTTTGTCACTTATGAAACTTTTCAGCATATGCAAAAGTAAAGAGACTAGGATAATACACACCCTTTACTCATCACCCACCTAAAACAAAATGTTGCTCCATGTTTAAACCTGTGCCTATCCCACCCTGCCCGCCCCTTTTTTTTTTTTGAGGATATGATGGAGGAAGGACAGGTCTTGCCTGTCTAGGTCATATCACCTCTGCCTCATAGAAAAGGAAGCAGAGGTCAGATAGTAAAGAATTTCCCCCAGAGCCACAGGGTGGGTAAACTGGGAAGCTGGAGCGGAACTCAGAACAGGTGTCCTTCAGTGCATCAGCAGCTCCTAGAACGTGTTGAAGCCTTCTGAAGGAGGTTAGTATGCACTCCACTAGAGTAGAATCTGTGAGTTACTTGGCTTGGGAAATAATGGAGCTCAAACAAATAAAACTTCCGTGGGGTTCTTGGGTGAAGAGCCTCTCAGAGCCTGTAGCCCCGGCAGGCCAGGCCTCCCTCCAGGAGATGGATAGGACCTTTGACTTCAAGGTCCCTGGCTTTGACTACACATCCCACAGATCCACGAGTTCCCGAATGATCAGCTCTCCTAACACGTAAGTCTCGTCAGCTGAGTCTGTCTTCTGAGCACACACCTGCCCTTGGAAGGACCAAGGCATCCCCTGTCAAGGTGGGCCAGCCCTAGGGTAAGGGCTGTGAGCTAGGAAGGGCTCCAGGAGCCCCATGGACAAATCTGACCCTCCAGGCCACCAGGTGCACAACCTCAGACCCTACCCGGTGCAGCAAAGGGATTAAACTCGAGTGGACATGATTGATTATTTGATTCCTACTATAATGAATTAAAGAGGTACACTCATGCACTGAGTAATGACATTTCTGTCAATGATGGACCACATTTATGACAGTGGTCCCATAAAATTATAGCGGAGCTGAAAAATTTCTTTCACTTAGTGATGATGTAGCCTTCATAACGTCATAGCAAAATTACCGTATTTTTTTTATTTATTTTTCTTTGAGACGGAGTCTCGCTCTGTCGCCTAGGCTGGAGTGCAGTGATGCATTCTCAGCTCACTGCAAGCTCCGCCTCCCGGGTTCAAGCAATTATTCTGCCTCAGCCTCTCGAGTAGCTGGGACTACAGGTGCGTGCTACCATGCCCGGCTAATTTTTGTGTTTTTATCAGAGATGGGGTTTCACCATATTGGCCAGGCTGGTCTTGAACTCCTGACCTCAGGTGATCCTCCTGCCTCAGCCTCCCAAAGTGCTGGGATTACAGGCATGAACCACCACGGCTGGCCGCTACCGTATTTTAAAAATAAATGTAGCGTGGCCTAAGCTTGCGGTGCTTATAAAGTCTACAGTCGTGGACGGTAAACTCTGAGGCCTTCACATTCACTCACCACTCACTGACTCACCCAGAACAACTTCCAGTCCGACAAGCTCCATTCATAGAAAGTACTCTTTATAGGCATACTGTTTTAATCTTTTACACCATATTCTTACTGTACATTTTCTATGCATAGATACACAAATGCTTACAATAGCACAAGTGCATGCTGTACAGGTTTGTAGCCTAGGAGCGATACACTATACCGTACAGCCAGGGTGTATAGTGGGCTGTACCATCAGGGTCTGTGGAAATGCACTCTGATATTCACACAATGCCAGAATCGCCTAACAATGCATTTCTCAGTACATGTTCCTGTTACTAAGTGACATGACTGTATTTAATGTTTATTCAGTATTCAGTATAGTTTTTAGTACTTAGTGTTTTTAAATCTTGCAGAAAGCTTGGGAAGCAAAAGTGAGAGGTAGGGCCGGGCGCGGTGGTTCATGCCTGTAATCCCAGCACTGTGGGAGGCTAAGGTTAGGCAGATCACCTCAGGTCAGTAGTTCGAGACCAGCCTGGCCAACATGGTGAAACCCTGTCTCTACTACAAATACAAAAATTAGCCCGGTGAGGTGACGGGCGCCTGTAATCTCAGCTACCCAGGAGGCTGAGGCAGGAGAATCGCTGGAACCTGGGAGGTAGAGGCTGCAGTAAGCCGAGATTGACCCACTGCACTCCAGTCTGGGTGATAGAGTGAGGCTCCGTCTCAAAAAAAAAAAAAATAGAGGTGGAACGGGGAGGCCGCCCAGGGCCAGCGCATAGTAACTGCACACCTTTTGAATGAGTAAATGGAGAACTGTAGATTCTTGGGAAGCCCAGGCTTGAGGGGCCAGATATGGAAGGGGCTCTCTTACCTAAGCCAGAGCCTCCCGTCAGCCACACCACTCGCTCCACACTCTTTTCACTCGGCTCAGCACAAGGCAAGATGAGCACAGCTCTTGAATTCAACGTGTTCTCATCTTAGATTACAGAGAGACTGTGGAAGAGGGAGGAGGACAAAGGACCTCTAGTTCAAAAGTAAAAACTGAGAAGTTTTTCTTTTCTTTCTTTTTTTTTTTTTTCAAGACAGTCTCGCTCTGTCATCCAAGGCTGGAGTGTAGTGGCACAATCTCAGGTCACTGCAACTTCCATTTCCCAGGTTCAAGCAATTCTCGTGCCTCAGCGTAGCTGGGATTACTGGCATGCCCCACCATGCCTGGCTAATTTTTTTTGTATTTTTAGTAGACAGTTTCACCATGTTGACCAGGCTGGTCTCGAACTCCTGACCTCAAATGATCCGCCTGCCTTGGCCTCCCAAAGTGCTGGGGTTACAGACGTGAGCCAGAAGGGGATTTTTTAGAAAACAGCTTGGAGAAGGAGTCGTGGGAAAGGAGTCAATTTTTTTTTTTTTTTTTAATTTTTTGAGACAGGGTCTCACTCTGTCCCCCTGGCTGGAGTGCAGTGGCACAATCATGGCTCACTGCAGCCTTGGCCTCCCAGGCTCAGGTAATCCTCCCACTTCAGCCTCCCAAGTAAACTGGGACTACAGGTGTGCACTACCACACCCAGCTAAGTTTTTGTGTGTGTGTTTTTTTTTTTTTTTGTAGAGATGAGATCTCACTATGTTGCCTAGACTGGTCTCAAACACCTGGGCTCAAGTGATCCGCCTGCCTTGGCCTCCCAAAGTGCTGAGATTACAAATGTGAGCCACCATTCCCATTCCCTTCTATCTATTCTTTCTGGCTTTTCTCATCTATTAACAGCAAGTGTAGGCTCAGATCAGGTTAAATTGAAAACATGCCTTTGAATCCTCCCTCCCCAATCTGCTACAAAAGTCTCCTACTTGGAACTCATGGACAGTTGGGTTCGCTGGAGGCCAGAGGTTGAAACCTCCAGTGTTCAAGGGACCTGGCAGGCAAGGTTAAGTGCGGCAAGGGGTGATGGGGAGTGGTGGCGACCCGGGTGCACTTGAGGTCCTCTGTCCTGCCTGAAGTGGGTGCTGCTGCTTGGCCCCAGGCACTTGTTGCAGGTGGGAATCTGAGCCTGCTGTTACTCTTTGGTTTTTCAAGAAAAGCCAGGCATTTTTATGTGAAATCACCCAATTTTTAAGTGTCAGATCTAACTCAAATGGTCTTATCAACACTGGATAGGCCAAAGAAAGGCACTTAAGGGCTGTATTTAGTTAGAGACATCTGATCTAAGTCAACATCACCCTTTTTTTTTCCTCATAGTATTAAAACCCCAAGAAACAAACCAGCACACAGGATCCCCCGATTGTAACAAAGGTTTAAAAATGGAGGAGTTCCCTTAGAAAAGCTGAAGATTCCAATCTGGAGCTGCAGTTGAGGCTGCAGTCAGGGTTGTTTGGCTGGATTACTGAGTGCACGGCATAAATGCTTCAACCGCATTGGAACACAAGAATGGTCCCTTCCTTGCCCAGGGATCAGCGCTCATGCCATGGGTCGTCTTGACACAGTGCCTGGAGGAGCTGTCCTGCTCAGAAGCCTCCCCATTCTCTGACCTCTTAGTAGCATACCCCATAGAGACCATAGAGACCTGCTACACCTCGTGCTTGGCAGCCACTTCTTTTTTTTTCTAGACAGAGTCTCACTCTGTCGCCCAGGCTGGAGTACAGTGGTATGATCTTGGCTCACTGCAACCTCTGCCTCCTAGGTTCAAGTGATTCTACTGCCTCAGCCTCCTGAGTAGCTGGGATTACAGGTGTGTGCCACCATGCCCAGTTAATTTTTGTATTTTTAGTAGAGACAGGGTTTCGCCACGTTGGTCAGGCTGGTCTTGAACTCCTGACCTCAGGCAATCCACCCACCTTGGCCTTCCAAAGTGCTGGGATTACAGGTGTGAGCCACCACAGCCGGCCAGTGGCCACTTTTTAATCACTGCCTTTTGGTCACCCAAAGACTAATTTGGGTCATGGAAGCAGCAACAGTCCTCTGGTGGCAGGGCTGGTTAGGCTCAAGCCCACCAGAATCTGCTGTTCCTTCCAAAGCCTTGACACTTCGAACTCCCTCTTTATTTTTTATTTTTTATTTGAGTCAGATTCTCACTCTGTCTCCTAGACTGGAGTGCAGTGGCGCAGTCTCAGCTCACTGCAACCTCTGCCTCAAGCAATTCTCGTGCCTCAGCCTCCAGAGTAGCTGGGACTGCAGGCACCCGCCACCACACCCAGCTAATTTTTGTATTTTTAGTAGAGATGGGGTTTTGCCATGTTGGCCAGGCTGGTCTTGAACTCCTGGCCTCAAGTGATCCACCCGCCTTGGCCTCCCAAAGTGCTGGGATTAAAGGCATGAGCCACCGCACCTGGCCAGACTCCCTCCTTTTAAGGAAACTGAGAATTGGAGAAGAGATGGCCTTGCCCAAAGCCACAGAGCTGGCCAGGATACTTCCAAGTATTCAAAACTGCATGGGAGGCCAGGTGCAGTGGCTTACGCCTGTAATCCCAGAGTTTGGTTGGCCGGGGCAGGAGGATCACTTGAGCCCAGGAGTTTGAGTCCAGCATGGGCAACATAGCAAGACCCCAGTCTCTAATAATAAAAATAATTTAAAACCCCAAACTGCACAGGGTTGAATCCATTTCGATGCCTTGAGAGTTCAAGTCTCTCTGCTGAGTTAGCACAAGGCATAGACTCCACCTGTCCCCTTTGCTGCCACCAGTCCAGGTGCCTAAATGCTGTGACCTTGTAGCTGCCAGGCTCCTGCCCCTAGTCATGGGCCCGGAAACAATCCCTCTACTCTGATCACAGGCCACAGTAGCTCTACCTCCTCCGCCCCTCTTTCCAGATCCCCTCCTCTTTGTGAAAACCAAACCAGCTAAAGCGGGGGCCTGTGCTGCTCTCCAGAGGGGCTGTTTGCAGCACACACTTGTCCCATAACAGTTCAGGTAAAGAACTCCTGGATCTTCAGAAAGGCTGTTTAGAAAACTTTCCCAACTGAGGCCGGGCGCGGCGGCTCACGTCTGTAATCCCAGCACTTTGGGGGGCCGAGGCGGACGGATCACGAGGTCAGGAGATGGAGACCATCCTGGCTAACACGGTGAAACCCCGTCTCTACTAAAAATACAAAAAATTAGCCGGGCGTGGTGGCGGGCGCCTGTAGTCCCAGCTACTTGGGAGGCTGAGGCAGGAGAATGGCGTGAACTCGGGGGGCGGAGCTTGCAGTGAGTCGGGATCGCGCCACTGCAGTCCGGCCTGGGCGACAGAGCGAGACTCCATCTCAAAAAAAGAAAAGAAAAGAAAACTTTCCCAACTGAGGCAAGGTGGTTGGCTCAGGACCAGACTGGAGGTGAGGGGAATGTCCCTTGACCCTGTCAAAGGGGACCCAGCTGGTACCTGTGAGCCTTCTCTCTGACCCTAGGAGGCTCTACTTGTAAGGAAGACAGAGACAGGGACAGAGGAGGCAGCCTCCTTTTGAAAAGGATGAAATCTGTAAGGGAAAACCCAGACGCTGAGGCCGTGAAAAGGAGGTGGTCAGGCCAGGCCGAGGCCATGAAAAGGAGGTGGTCAGGCAAGGCAAAGGCCATTCAAATTCCAGAGAAGGCTGAGGATGGATACTTTTATAGTTTCAGTTACTTGTGACTTAGTGCTGCCTGAGACAAAGTCGTTTCTATAACTAGGGGAATACCTGGGAGTCACCCTGAGGTCTGAAAATGCCCATCCCCACACCCAGCAACCTGCAGAATGGCCTATGGCAGCACCCTGGGGGGACAGTGGGGAAGGGCATGTGGGCAGACCCTTCGTATTTTGAGGGATTGAAAGGAAAGTAGCCAAGCCATGAACCAAGGTCCTCAGAGAGGGAGGGGCCACAGGCTTCAGCATCTCTTGGCTGCTGGTGGGAGACCCAGTGCCCCAAGCCTGGCTGTGCTGAGAGGTGTCAGTTACATGACCCACAGGGGCCAAGAGCTGCAATCTCGGGGGCCTGAGCAGGAAGCAGCCAAGTGTGCCCATTTTCACTTTGAAGACCACTCCAGCCTATGCAGTGACCTGGACTAGGAAAAGCAGATCAAGCAAATACCAGCACCACAGGTCTGACTGCACAGGGCATAGTTTCGGCACAACCCTGGTAAAGCCCCAGCTGCAGGGTGCCGCTAGACCCCAGGCCCTTTCCAGCTGGGTGTGAAGGTCAGAGGGACCCCAGCTCCCCCATGGGACCCTGGAAGCTCTGGGACACTTTTTGTTTTGTTTTTTTATTGTTACTTAGTTTTATTTATTTTTGAGACAGAGTCTCCATCAATATGTGACCTTTTGCCCAGGCTGGAGTGCAGTGGCTCGCTCTCTGCTCACTGCAACCTCCACCTCCTGGGTTCAAGTGATTCTCCTGCCTCAGCCTCCCAAGTAGCTGGGACTACAGGCACGAGCCACCACGCCCAGCTAATTTTTGTATTTTTAGTAGAGATGGGGTTTTGCCATGTTGGCCAGGCTGGTCTTGAACTCCTGGCCTCAAGTGATTCACCTGCCTCGGCCTCCCAAAGTGCTGGGATTACAGGCATGAGCCACTGCACCCGGCCTATTGTTAGTTTTATTTTCACAATTTAAAGGCTGGATTACTGTCAGTTAGCACTTAAATAAAAATAAAAATAAAGGCTGGAGGGTCTCAAGCAGCGAGACACTCGATTTCCAGCTCACTCTCCAGGTGGATGTTTACATGGGGCAGAAGGAAAAGCCGTGACTTCCTTCCAGGTTTTGGTATTTGTACAATTTTAAGTGTCATTTCCGCAGGTTTTTGTTTTTGTTTTTGTCCCCTGTTTATTTCTCTCTGATCCAGGGCAGTAACAGACGAGGAGGCAAAGAGCAGCTCACACATGGGAGGGTCAGAGTGGTGCCAGTCCCATGCCCCACACCCTATGAGTGAGACCGCCTTTCCATGGGTGCCCCAGGAGCCTCGCTGGCACAGCCCCACGATGCCAAGGTGCAAGCCACCACGCCAGGGTAATTTTTGTATTTTTAGTAGAGATGGGATTTTGCCATGTTGGCCAGGCTGGTCTCGAGCTACTGACCTCGGGTGATCTGCCTGCCTCAGCCTCCCAAAGTGCTGGGGTTATAGGTGTGAGCCACCGCACCCGGCCAAGATTTTCAACATTACCTCCATTGTCTACTGAAGGTAACATTCAGAAGCAACTCCACATCACCCACACCAGCCTCAAGCCTTTGCATCGAGTCCTACCTGGGTCAGCCGGTGGATGTGGCCCTGGCCCTGGCCTCCTGGGAAGAAGCAGCTCCATGTGCTGCACTGCGTGCCTGCTGCAGTTGATCAGGAGAGCAAGTCCAAGGGTCAAGGCAGCATGAACCTCAGCAGATGGCCCCAAAGCCCCTTCGGGCTCCTCTGCAGGGCTGACCACAAGGGCTATGGGACCACCCTCCCTGACCCCACTGTGCCCGGGGAGGTGTTGCGCCAGTGGAGTGGGGTGAAAGGGATGCAGAGGGGAATGGCGGAGACCACACTGGTCCTGGAATCAGAGACTCCTTGAGACCCCATCTGCCATCACTTAGCTTACTAACTGGGCAAACCTCCCAGCCTCATTTTTCTCAAACGGAAAACAAGAAAAAATATCACCAGTCCTACTCACTTCACAAGACCGTCAAGAGGACCAGATCAAATGGGATACTATTAGTTGAAAGCATTTTAAAGAACTGGGGTGGGGGCCAGGCATGGTGGCTCATGCCTGTAATCCCAGCACTTTGGGAGGCTGAGGCAAATGGATCATTTGAGGTCAGGAGTTCGAGACCAGCCTAACCAACATGGTGAAACCCCATCTCTACTAAAAATACAAAAAATTAGCTGGGCATAGTGGCATATGCCTGTAGTCCCAGCTACTCGGGAGGCTGAGGCAGGAGAATCACTTGAACCCAGGAGGCAGAGGTTGCAGTGAGCTGAGATCGCGCCACTGCACTCCAGCCTGGGCGACAGGGCGAGACTCCGTCTCAAAAACAAAGAAACAAAAACAAAAAACTGGGGTGGAATTCACATAACATAAAATTAACCATTTTTAAGGGTACAGTTCAGGGGCGTTTAGTACATTCTCGCTGTTGTACAAAACTAGTTCCAAAACATTAATAGCCCCAAAGGAAATCCTGTAGCCATTAAACAGTCATGCCCTCCAGCGCCTGGCAGTCACCAATCTTCATTCTGTCTCTATGGATTTGCCTATTCTGAACATTTCATATAAATGGAATCCTACAATATGCGACCTTTTATGTCTGGCTTCTTTCACTTAGAATAATGTTTTCAAGGCTCACCCATGTAGGATGTGTCAGAACATCCTTCCCTTTTTTTTTTTTTTTCTTTTGAGACAGAGTTTTGCTCTGTTACCCAGGCTGGAGTGCTGGAGTGCAGTGGCGCGATCTCGGCTCACTGCAAGCTCTGCCTCCTGGGTTCACGCCATTCTCCTGCCTCAGCCTCCCGAGTAGCTGGGACTACCGGTGCCCGCCACCACACCTGGCTAATTTTTTGTATTTTTAGTAGAGACAGGGTTTCACTGTCTTAGCCAGGATGGTCTCAATCTCCTGACCTCGTGATTCACCTGCCTTGGCCTCCCAAAGTGCTGGGATTACAGGCGTGAGCCACCGCACCCGGCCTCGTCCTTCCTTTTAATGGATGGATAGCATTCCATTATACACGCGTACCCCCGTCGTTTATCCATTCTTGCTTCAGCGGACACTTGGGTTGTTTCCACATTTTGGCTATTGTGAATAGTGCTGCTGTGAACATTTGTGCTCAGACTTGTGTGTGGACATGTTTTCTGCCCCTTGGGGTATATACTTAGGAGTGGAAATTTGGGGTCATATGGTAGTTCTGTATTTAACTTTTTGAGGAACCACCAAACTGTTAGTTGAAAGCATTTTTGCAAAGTCAAGAATCACTCACCTGGAGGAAGTGTGTGTCACCATCTTGCTCACCTTGCCCTGGGCAGTTCTTCTTTGTTGACGTCTTTTTTAAAATATGGGACCCCAAACTGACCCCTGGGCCCTGGGTTCCACCCAGTGAGAACAGACTTCAGGGACAATGACAGCCTTCTGTGAAACTACACAAGTATTTGCATTTTTACTGTGTGGGATTCTCTTATCTGGTACTTGGTCAGATTTGTTGTTTTTTAACTGAAAAGGGAAACTTCAGCTCTGATAATTTATGTCTGTTACCTTGTTAGTTTATGTCTGTTTCTTGTTAGCTTGTGTCCAGTCAGCCAGGAAAAATGATTCTGAACCCTGAGAGCTAACATTCTTTTTTAAAAAATTTTTTTTTGAAATGGAGGCTCTCTCTGTCTCTCAGGCTGGAGTGCAGTGGCGTGATGTTGGCTCACTGCATCCTCTGCCTCCCGGGTTCAAGCAATTCTCCTACCTCAGCCTCCCGAGTAGCTGGGATTACAGGCATGCACCATCACACACAGCTACTTTTAGTATTTTTAGTAGAGACAGTTTTGCCATGTTGGCCAGGCTGGTCTTGAACTCCTGCCCTAGGTGATCTGCCCGCCTTGGCCTCCCAAAGTGCAGGGATTACAGGCGTGAGCCACCGTACCCAGCCTTTAATTTTTTAAAAGCTTCTATTTCCATAGATTTTGGGGGAACAGGTGGTATTTGGTTACATGAGTAAGTTCTTTTTTTTTTTTTTTTTTTTTTTTTTTTTTTTGAGACAGAGTCTTGCTCTGTCGCCCAGGCTGGAGCGCAGTGGTGCGATGTTGGCTCACTGCAAGCTCCGCCTCCCAGGTTCACATCATTCTTCTGCCTCAGCCTCCCGAGTAGCTGGGACTACAGGCATGTGCCACTATGCCCGGCTAATTTTGTATTTTTAGTAGAGGCGGGGTTTCTCCATGTTTGTCCGGCTGGTCTCAAACTCCCGACCTCATGTGATCTGCACACCTCGGCCTCCCAAAGCACTGGGAATACAGGTGTGAGCCACCCCACCCGGCCCAGAGAACAGCTTTGTCTCTTTCGAGAGAGAGGTGCACCCAAATGGGACCTCCAGACCTCAGTGGAGTGCACCGGATTTTATAGGCAGGCTTGAGGAGGCGGTGTCTGATTTACCAGGGACCCAAAGATGGGTTGGACCAGGTGTGACATCTACATAGCATGAGAGGAAGCTGGGACTACAGGCACCCACCGCCATGCCCGGCTAATTTTTTTTTTGTATTTTTAGTAGAGACGGGGTTTTGCCATGTTAGCCAGGATGGTCTCGATCTCCTGACCTCGTGATCCGCCTGCCTCGGCCTCCCAAAGTGCTGAGACTACAGGCGTGAGCTACTGCGCCCGGCCATGAGTATGTTCTTTAGTGGTGATTTGTGAGATTTCGGTGTGCACCCATCACCAGAGCAATATACACTGAAATCAATTTTTAGCCTTTTAATCCTCATCCCCTTCCTACCCTTTCCCCCACAAAGTCCCAAAGTCCATTGTATCATTTTTATGCCTTGGCATCCTCAGAGCTTATTTCCCACTATAAGTGAGAACATACAATGTTTGGTTTTCCATTCCTGAGTTACTTCACTTAGAATAATAGTCTCCAATCTCATCCAGGTTGCGGCAAATGCCATTAATTCACTCCTTTTTATGGCTGAGTAGTATTCCATTGTATATATATGCCACAGTTTCTTTTTTCTTTTTTTTCTTTCTTTTTTTTTTTTTTTTTTTTTTTTTTTTTTTTTTTTTTTTGAGACAGAGTCTTGCTCTGTTGCCAGGCTGGAGTACAGTGGTGTGATCTTGGCTCACTGCAACCTTCGCCTCCCAGGTTCAAGCGATTCTCCTGCCTCAGCCTCTTAAGTAGCTGAGACTACAGGTGCACGCCACCACACTCGGCTAATTTTTGTATTTTTAGTAGAGACAGGCTTTGACCATGTTGGCCAGGATGGTCTCAAACTCTTGACCTCGTGATCCGCCTGCCTCAGCCTCCCAAAGTGCTGGGATTACAGGCGTGAGCCACGGCGCCCAGCCCTATGCCACAGTTTCTCTATCCATTTGTTGGTTGATGGGCATTTGGGCTGGTTCCATATTTTTGCAATTGCGAATTGTGCTGCTACAAACATGCATGTGCAAGCATCTTTTTCATATAATGACTTTTTTTTTCCCCTCTGGGTAGATATCCAGTAGTGGGATTGCTGGATCAAATGGTAGATCTACTTTTAGTTCTTTAAGGAATCTCCACACTGTTTTCCATAGTGGTTGTACTACTTTACATTCCCACCAGCAGTGTAGAAGTGTTCGCTTTTCACCATATCAACACCAACATCTATTATTTTTTTGATTTTTTTTTTATTATGGCCATTCTTGCAGGAGTAATGTGGTATTGCATTGTGGTTTTGATTTGCATTTCCCTGATCATTAGTGATATTGAGCACTTTTTCATATGTTTGTTGGCCATTTGTATATCTTCTTTTGAGAATTGTCTATTCATGTCCTTAGGCCAGTTTTTGATGGGATTGTTTTTTTCTTGCTAATTTGAGTTCCTCGTAGATTCTGGATGTTAGTCCTTTGTCGGATGTATAGATTGGGAAGATTTTCTCCCACTCTGTGGGTTGTCTGTTTACTCTGCTTACTGTTCCTTTTGCCGTGCAAAAGGACAGCTAACATTCTTATAGTTTCTTTTTTTAATGTGCCAGTAAACTCTATGTGGCTTCTCAGTTAATCTTCCCAACACCCTATAAGATAGATACTTCGATTATGACCATTTTCTAGATGGAGAAACTGAGGCTCAAGCAAGGTAAGTGACTTGACCAGAGATAGCTAGCTAGTAGCTGGTGAAAACTAGGACTCAAGCTGAGATAATGTGGCTGCAGCCCGTGCTGTTCATCTCTAATGCCTGCCGGATTCTCACTGCATATCATGACACCTATTGGGGCATCAGTCAATTTGATTAGTCAGCTTCAGTGTCTTCATTTGTGGGGTTGTTGGAAACAGATGAGACAGGATCTGGCTGAGAAACAGCCCCAGAAACCTCCTCTCCCAGAATGGCACCAACCCCCCTTCCCTGCCTCTGAGCCTGGCCACTGGGTGGACTTCCAGTCCACATAGTAGACTAGATCACCCCCAGTGCATGCAAAGGCAGAGTGAAAGGTATAAACAACTTAGTCAAATCAAGCTGTACAATGAAAAACAAAAGGAAATAAAACTATTCTGGCGCACACCTTTTTCTTATTAATTTCAAGTTGGCTGCCAATGTTTACCTGCTTTGTTCTTAAAATAATCCATTCTAGAATTTTGCTAGAGAGCAACATCGTTTAGAGATTGTCATTTATGAAACTCTCACTCTCATTTTCCCCTCTTTTGAAATTAGGACAACATCTACCCATGTCTAGTTTTCTGGGGTTATTCATTCTCCTCAATGGCATTCATTCATTCATTCACTCAACACATTTACATAGCACCTGCTGTGTCCCAGATACTGTGCTAGGTACCAGAAGGAGTCAAACATAGTCAATGATTCTGCTTTTCCATTGGCTTGGGGCATCCAGGAACACATTTTCTCAGGCTTGGAGATGTGAACTCCAATGGGCAGCTGCCTGCCCTTCCCCTCCCCTTGCCTGCACCTTTACAGTAAGGTCTACTCGCCGCTGCAGCAGGAAGATCCTCCATTAGGAGTAAAACAGAGCTGTGAATTCGGCTGCCCCAGGAACAGCCCGATCCTTGTTGCTCCAGACACATCCCTACTGTCTTTTTGCTGTTCTTTGCTTTCGGCATGAGTTTCAGGTCTTTCAGAGCTTTGCCTCTGACACTTTCACAGAAATCTTTTCCACCCGCCTTTTCTTAGTCATCTTTACTTCGGACTTCCTGCTTCTGCCTTTTGTCCCTGTAGATTCTGAAGTCCTCAGGAACAATCCAAGATCTTCTGGTGTTTCAGATGCTTCCCCTTCACGTTCCTTAGGTGGTGGTTTCTGTTCTATCAGTTGGGGTTTAAGGAGGAGGCAGGGATCTTGGGCAGTGGGAGAAGCACCTCTGTAGGGAGCTGACTGCCAAGATGGGAAAGTGTCAGCCTCCAGGTAGTGGCGCTTGCTGGGATTTACCGACGCTGGAAGCACAGACTTTATCTGTAGGGCTCACAGTTTCCTCCAGGTCCCACAGAGCTGTCCGGAGGGTCACACAGCAAACAGATAAAGGAGGCCAGCGCAGATTGGGCGGCTCTCTGGTACCTTGCGGTGGCTGAGCCACTCAAGACAAACCGGGGGAAAGACGCCCTGATGACGAAATGCTAATTTTGCATATCTCTTTCCCAGGATGCTTAGCAACACGTCTGATTCTTGTTATTCAGTACGTTTTTCCAGCTATTGATAAATAGATGTGCCAGGGAATTCTTAGAGTATATATATATCATTAATATTGTAAATATAGTCATCAGTAAACTGAAACCAGAATATCACTGTAAGGGGAAAATGAACAAATTTGGGGGCTTTAAATAGTTCAAACAGTAGGAGGACTTATTGGCTGGTCCGAAGGTAGTGAGTTATCTCAATTGATTGTTCACAGTCAGTTACAGATCGAACTCCTTGTTCTACTCTTTCCCCCCTTCTCACTACTGCACTTGACTAGTCTTTTACGAGAGTTTCCACTCTCCTGGCATCCCTCGTTTCTTGTTTTCATCTCAATTTTAAAATGTTGAAAGTCAGCATCATTAAATAAAGCATGGAATACAGGGGGAAAACGAAGTACTATTCTTTTCTTCCAGAAACAAACAGTAAATTTGGGAAAACCCATCACAGACAAGAAGGAAAAAGAAAACAAAAATCAAATAAATAGTAATAGATACTACGGACCAATTATTGGTAAAGATGGTATAGTATGTCCTAAGAGATCAAAGACAGGAAATGGGATGAGGGTGAATAGGGGTTTTTCTTTTTCTTGTACTTTTTCTTTTCTTTTCTTTCTTTTTTTTTTTTTTTTTTTTTTTTTTTGAGACAGGCTGGAGTCTCTGTCACCCAGGCTGGAGTGCAGTGGTGTGATCTCGGCTCACTGCAACCTCCGCCTCGTGGGTCCAAGCGATTATCTTGCCTTAGCCTCCTGAGTAGCTGGGACTATAGGCGCGCGCCACCACGCCTGGCTAATTTTTCTATTTTTGTAAAGACCGAAGTTTCGCCATGTTGGCCAGGCTGGTCTTGAACTCCTAACCTCAAGTGATCCTCCTGCCTCAACCTCCCAAAGTGCTGGGATTACAGGCGTGAGCCACCGCGCACGGCCAGGATTTTTTTAATGTTTTAATATCAGTAGGATTAAGGACTGGTATTTGATGATACAACACTCAATGGACAAAATTAAGAGGCATTTCAAAGTCGACAATCCAGTTAAGTTTTGAAGCTAAGAGATGTGAACATTTTCAGAGAGAAAGTATTTTGGAGGAAGACAAACCAAGTCCAAGAGTTTGAAAATAGAGAAGGCGGAAGAGGGCAGAGTACATTGCGGGATGCTCACCACGTGAGGCACCAGAGCCACTTTCTAATCCTGGTTCAGCCCTTAGGTTCTTATGTAGCCTTTAGAAAGCCACGCAGCTGCCTCCTCATCAGAAACAAAGGGTCATTACACTGATCTTCCTTCCCTCTTCGCTACATGGAAGTATACATTCCTAACAGCCTCGAGGCAAAGTGTTGTTTGATGAGATTGTGGTGGTGTTGCAGTACAGTGTGACTGCCACAAATGTGTATACAACAAAAGAATATTTAAATTTTTCTTATAGGTGAAAGTAACCCAAGGCACCTTGAGGGCACATGTGGGTTTCCCAAGAGCTTCCCTGTGGGGTTTTTTGTTTTTTTTTTTTCTTTCTGAGACGGAGTTTCGCTCTTGTTCCCCAGGCTGGAGCACAATGGCGCGATCTCGGCTCACTGCAACCTCCGCTTCCCAGGTTCAAGCGATTCTCCTGCCTCAGCCTCCCGAGTAGCTGGGATTACAGGCATGTGCCACCACGCCCAGCTAATTTTTTGTATTTTAGTGGAGACGGGGTTCCTCCATGTTGGTCAGGCTGGTCTCGAACTCCCGACCTCAGGTGGTCCGCCAACCTCGGGCTCCAAAGTGCTGGGAATACAGGCAAAAACCACCACACCCGGCCTTGAATTGTAATTCTCAGGTGTTGAGGGGGAACCTGGTGAGAGGTAACTGAATCAGGAAGTCAAGACTTAAGGGTCTCCTCAATCTAAGTCCCGAGGCTTTTCCCGTACAGCTAGCTTGCTGCTTCTTCAATAATAGATATGCCTTAATTACAGTGATTGTTCAAGCCAACTGATGTTGCTATGATCACGTACCAGCTATGAACACAGGACTGTCACTGTATCTCAGGAATAATGGCAATTAAATGATATTGCAAGAGAGTAACAGTCTATTGGCCATAGTCACCATTTGATATTTGCAAAGGAATACATTTGTATTGTGTTTTATAAGGTACAGGGTATTTTCATATGACCTATTTCATTTAATATTCTTTGCAGTCCAGTTAAATTAGTATGACAGACATTATCATTTTACAAATGAAGAAACTGAGGTTCTGAGAGAGATCACATAAGCAGCCGAGAGTCAGCCACTGAGTTCATTGCTTGCAGAGCCAGAATAACCTTTCTTCCCCAAAAGTATTCTCTCTGCTACCCCGCAAAGAAAAACCAGCAATCAAACAATGTCAACAAAGCCATGAAACCAATTGCTGTACTATTCCAGTCAGTGGAAACATTGCTAAAAACTAAAAGATAGATGGATGGATAGTTAGGAGGGAGGGAGAGAGAGAGAAAAAAGTATGTAGTTGATGGTGGAATAACTGTTAATATGGACACTACGAAACTAACACGAGAGCAGAGTCAATTTCTCTGACTTTAGGTTGATTTCATTCCACAGATATGAGACTGCACAATTCTATCAGTCTTGATGACATATGTATCCTATCTCCAGAAACTTCCTAACCAGATAATATCTGCAAAGCAATAATGAATGCCCAGTGCAACTATAAGGCCAGCTCAGAGTAATATGATAACTTGAGGAAGAAAAGAGTTTGGCATTAGTTCTTTCCTAAGACGTATTTGAATAAGATAGGATTGTCAGATAAAATACAGGATGCCTGGTCAAATTTGAACAATAGTGTAAATAGATTTTTAGCATAAGTATGTCCCAAATATTGCACACTATATCCTACTGTCATTGCACAGACAGTAGTTTGAAGCCAAAATAATTTTGATTTGCAAAAGCGCGGCATTTGCGAAGAGAAAGGGGATATTTTCCAATACCAAAATCTTTATGTTTTACAAGAAAAGCAAAGCTTGGTGGATCCAGGTTTAGAGATAATACCATGAACCATCGTGTCCGAGGTGAGCAGTTTCCCCACCACACAGTAAAGAGGAAAGCTTCGTGTCTGCATCATTTCTAGGTTAACAGCTTGGGATTTTCTTCATCTTTGATCTTGCTAATACTGTATTAACACAGACAAGCTTAAGCACAGATGTGCAAAGTGTTTTACTTTTCAGTGTGAAATAGAATCATGCTATGTACATTACTTTGCAATTTGAAAAGCTTGCTCTCTTACCACTGCACTCTGCGGACCTTTGCCCTCTCCTGGATCCCTCTTCTTCATGCCTGACACCGTGGATAAGGAGGTGCGTGAGACATGGTTCATTCCTTAGGTCACCTAAACCTATGGTTCTCCTTATTCTCAAGGTACAATTCAGAGACGAGGGGACCTCCCTTTTCAACACGGAGCATGCCAGGCTCCTAAAAACACTTAATGTGCTCTGTCCACTAGTCATCTTCACTGGCAAGTAGTGGTGTGCTTAAGAAAAACCTTCAGGCAGGATCTTGGCTGTTCTGTATTGGGGAACAGAAAATGCTTTCCCACCCCAAAACCACAGCAAAAGGCTAGTCAAGTGAAGCAGTGGGAGTGGAGAAGGAACAAAGAAATCTGTAACTGGTTGTGATCAATTAGTTGTAAACACCACTGCACTCGGACCAGCCGAAACACAAAGGCACGCTGCTACTTATATAAGCCTCGAAAGTTCCATCTCTACCATAGTTACGGTGACTATTCACAGGAGCTAAAAAAAAGGAAGAGTATAAATACACCCCAAATAGAAAGCAAATGTTTAAAAAATAAAACTGTTAAACACATAGACTTTGTAAGAAAAAGGTCCTTCTCTCTTCAGTGACATTAAAGGAGCTCGGGCAACCCTGCTCAAAGCATTGTGGGTGATTTGCATGGAAACCCTGCATCAGCCACATCCATCAAAGACTCCCACGGTGCCCCCGGCGGGGCCTCAGTCTCACAGGGCCAGGACGTCTAGAGCGGGAGGGGACGTCCTCTTAAGAAGGAAGAGGCAACCCGCCGCGGGGGTGGGGCCGGGCGGGCGGGGGCCCCTTGGAATTCAGTGGCCCCCCCGGGATCAGGGGTCCCCGCGGTTCGGTGGTCCCGGACCCCACGCAGGGCTGGCGCGGCCCCCCACGCCCGCGCCCCCACCCCCGGTTCCCCGTGGAGGGGGAGCGTGTGTCCTGCGAGGAGCCCTGCAGCCCGGCGTCCCCTCCCCTTTTCCTTCCCAACGACCCTCTTTAAAAATGAATGAATGAATGTATGAATGAATGAAGTCCCAGATTCTGGTGTCACCCACGATGCTTTTCTTGAGCTTTCCAAGGTTTGTTTTGTTTTGTTTGAGCTCTTTAGGAAGCTTTCCTGGCGGTTTCGCCATAGTCCTGCGCTCCTGTTACCAAGTGGTTTTGTTTCAAAGCGGCTGCACTGGGGACCTTGAGCTATTCTGGAAGGAGGTTAGGAACCCCACTCTAAACAGAAAGGGAAACATTCGGTCCGTGGAAGCTAACATTTTAAAATACATAATTAGCAATTATCTTTTTAAAAAGTGACGCCGTGGAGGAATGAGGCGCACAGAGCCTCGGAGAGACTCCCGGGGGCTGAACGCGCACCTGGCTTCTCAGCAGGGGCAGCCTGGGCCCCCAGCCCTGGGCCGCACAGCGGGTCCCAGGAGCTGCCGGGTGGGGCAGGACCCGACACGAAGGGCGAGGGGAGCGCAGCCTCGGGGGTCTTTGCCTTTCCAGGCTCTGCAGTGGGGGCCCGACCCCTTGACCCCCAGAGCGGGTCATTTTGAACAATCCTCTTACTACAAAATTATTTTCAGTAAAACGCATGAAATAATCAGTATGTATCACTGGATTTTGCGATTAGTCCATTAATTTTAAAAGAAGCAATTAACAATTTAAAAAAGAAGATATGTCCATTTTAAAGTTTTTTTTTTTCAAATTTAGAAAAAGATTTCATGTTATGAAATGAACTTTCCACCTACCAAGTATTATATCTTGTGTTCCCTGCGTAAAGGCTGTGTGTTTTCACTTTTACATTAAACACACTTAAATTTTCTTTCCTTTTTTTCTTTTTTTGAGACAGGGTCTCCTCGCTCTGTCGCCCAGGCTGGAGTGCAATGGCACGATCTCTACTCACTACAACCTCTGCCTCCCGGGTTCAAGCGATTCTGCCGCCTCAGCCTCCGGAGTAGCTGGGAATACAGGCACCCGCCACCATGCCTGGCTAATTTTTTGGTAATTTTAGTAGAGACGGGATTTCACCATGTTAGCCAGGCTAGTCTCGAACTCCTGACCTCAGATGATCTACCCGCCTTGGCCTCCCAAAGTGCTGAGATTACAGGTGTGAGCCACCATGCCCGGCCTTAAATTGATTTTTAAAATATAAAATTTTGGCCGGACCGGTGGCTCCTGCCTGTAATCACAGCACTTTGGGAGGCCGAGGCGAACCGATCATCTGAGGTCAGGAGTTCGAGACCAGCCTGGCCAACATGGTAAAACCCCGTCTCTACTAAAATACAAAAATTAGCCGGGTGTGGTGGCAGATGCCTGTAATCCCAGATGCTCGGGAGGCTGAGACATGAAAATCGCTTGCGCCAGGAGGTGGAAGTTGCAGTGAGCCGAGATCGTGATACTGCACTCCAGCCTGGGTGACAGAATGAGACGCTCTCTCTCTCTCTCTCACATACACACAATCAATTTAAATCCCATTGTTCCAGAGCCGTTTGTTAATCTGTTCTCTGCTGTGCTGCCATTGCCTCTTTGTGAAACATCACTTGACTACCCTTATGTGTGCCAGTTTGTGGGTTCCCTATTCTGTTGCATTGATCTATCTGTTCTTTCACTAATACCACACTGTCTTGATTACTGTAGCTTTATACAGTCCATCTTGAGGTTGGGTAGGGTCAGTCCTGTGACTTTGTTCTGCTTCAACGTTGTTGGCTATTCTGGGTCTTTCAGCTTGTCCATGGCAACTGTTTCATTTAATTTCTCTTTCTGATATTAGTGATTTGTGTATTCTCTCTTTTTCGTCTTTGTCAGCCTGGCCGGAGGCTGATCTTCTCTACTGATTTCCTGTTTTTTAAGTTAATTGATTTCTGCTCTAATTTTTATTAGTTCTTTTCTTCTGCTTACTTTGGATTTAATTTGCTTTTCTTTTTCTAGCTTCTTAAGGTGGGAACCTAGAATATGGACTATAGATCTTTCTTCTTTACTAATGTATGCATTTAATGCTATCAATTTTCCTCTAAACACTCTTTTTGCTGCACCCCATAAATGGGATGTATTTTCATTTTTTATTTAGTTCTAAATATGTTATTTAGAAGTGTTGGCGGGGTGTGGTGGCTCACGCCTGTAATCCCAGCACTTTGGGAGGCTGAGGCGGGTGGATCACAAGGTCAGGAGTTCAAGATCAGCCTGGCCAAGATGGTGAAATCCCGTCTCTACTAAAAATACCAAAAGTTAGCCGGGAGCGGTGGCAGGCGCCTATAATCGCAGCTACTTGGGAGGCTGAGGCAGGAGAATCGCTTGAACTCGGAGAGTGGAGGTTGCAGTGAGCCGAGATCATGCCACTGTACTCCAGCCTGGGTGACAGAGTGAGACTCCGTATCAAAAAAAAAAAAAAAAAAAGAAAAAGAAGTGTTAATATGGGCTGGGCTTGGTGGCTCACACCTGTAATTCCAGCACTTTGGGAGACTGAGGTGGGCAGATTACCTGAGGTCAGGAGTTCGAGACTGGCTTGGCCAACATGGCGAAATCCTATCTCTACTAAAAATACAAAAATTAGCAAGGCATGATGGTGGCTGGGTGACTGAGGCACCAGAATCTCTCCATCCCGGGAGATGGAGGTTGCAGTGATCCGAGATCACTCCACTGCACTCCAGCCTGGGCGACAGAGCAAGACTGTCTTAAAAAAAAATTATATATATATGGTTTGGCTTTGCGTTCCCACCCAAATTTCATCTTGAAAAAAATTTTTTTTCTTTTTTTTTGAGACGGAGTTTTGCTCTTGTTGCCCAGGCTGGAGTGCAATGGTGTGATCTGCAACCTCCTTCTCCTGGATTCAAGTGATTCTCCTGCCTCAGCCTCCCCTGTAGCTGGGATTACAGGTGCCCACCACCGTGCCCAGCTAATTTTTGTATTTTTAGTAGTGATGGGGTTTCACTGTGTTGGCCAGGCTGGTCTCGAGCTCCTGACCTCAGGTGGTCCACCCGCCTCAGCCTCCCAAAGTGCTGGGAATACAGACATAAGCCACCGCACCCAGCTTTGAATTGTAATCCTCAGGTGTTGAGGAAGGAACCTGGTGAGAGGTAATTGAAACATGGAGGTGGTTTCCCGCGTGCTATTCTCGTGATAGTGAGTGAGTTTCACGAGATCTGATGGTTTTATAAGTGTTTCTTTGGTAGTTCCTCTCCTGCTTGTTGTGGTCTCTCTAGTGCTGTTTTATGAAGAAGGTGCTTGCTGCTTCTTCCGCCGTGATTATAAATTTCCTGAGGCCTCCTCAGCCATGAGAACTGTGAGTCAATTAAACCTCTTTCCTTTATAAATTACCCAGTTTTGGGACAGAGTTTTTTTGCTTTTGTTGCCCAGGCTGGAGTGCAATGGAGCGATCTCAGCTCACTGCAACCTCTGCCTCCCAGGTTCAAGCGATTCTCCTGCCTCAGCTTCCCAAGTAGCTGGGATTACAGGCATGCACCACCACGACCAGCTAATTTTTGTATTTTTAGTAGAGATGGGTTTTCACCACGTTGGTCAGGAAGTCCTGACCTCCAGTGATCTGCTTGCCTCAGCCTCCCAAAGTGCTGGGATTACAGGCATGAGCCACAGTGCCTGGTCTCTTTTTTTTTTGAGATGGAGTTTTGCTCTTGTTGCCCAAGCTAGAGTGCAATGGCACAGTCTCGGCTCACTGCAACCTCTGCCTCCCAAGTTCAAACGATTCTCCTGCCTCAACCTCCCAAGTAGCTGGGATTACAGGTGCCTGCCGCCACACCCGGCTAATTTTTTGTAATTTTTAGTAGAGATGGGGTTTCACCGTGTTGGCCAGGTTGGTCTTGAACTCCTGACCTCAGGTGATCTGCCCTCCTTGGCCTCCCAAAGAGCTGTGATTACAGGCTTGAGCCACTGCACCTGGTGGGGAAATTCATTATAGCAGTGTGAGAACGGACTAATACAAGTTTATTGTTTAACCCTCAAATATTTGGGGATTTTCCAGATATTGTTCTGTTATTGATTTCTAGTTTAATTCCATGTGGTCTGAGAGCAGATGTTGTATGATTTCTATTTTTTTAGACTTGTTGAGGCATAAACGTACCTTTTATTGCCCGGAATATCGTCTATCTTGGTGAGTGTTCCGTGTGAACTTGAGAAGAAAGTATATTCTGCCGTTGTTGGATGAAGTAGTCTACAGATGTCAAATGGTAGTTTATTACTAACCATGTGAGTCCTGGGGAACCTAAAGGAACTCACTCTTCAAACAAATGTTTTAACTGAGTCTGCACGTCGTGTTGGCTTGAGAGTTCTCCAAATTAACTCTCATGTAGTCATATGATGCGTAGTAAAGGGAAGACTTAAAATGTGCTCATTCCAATCCTACATGTATATGACTGAAATCCAGGGGCAACTGCAGCAACATTTTAGAATTTAGACCAATAGAGGCTTTGGGGGAGGAGCCTTTTCTTGTTGGCATTGTTTAAAATTGCCAGGGCATCGCCATGAAAATCATGAAAAGCCAGCCACCTTCTAGTTGGTTTCTGATTGTTTTAGGTCTTCTCTGACAGCTCCCTGCCCTGTGCGGGGTGATAAGCCAGACACCCCAGCAAGTTCCCTCCTGGAATGATTATTATTACTCTCTCCTGGGATTCCCAGGCCCCAGGGAGAGCCGTTTGTTCTGTTGTTTTTCAGTCTGAGCCTGGGGTCTGAATGATGCGGCTCACAGCCACCTGGGCCCTGATGTGGGGACAAGTCCCTCTCCCTTCCTCAGGTGGCTGTTAATGGGACACTTCATCTTACTCCCTTTCTGCTGTCCGATCCCAGTAGATCCCAAGCAGCTGCAAGGCTGCCCTTCCCCGCCTCTCCACATCCTCTAATCTCCGATTTTCCTGCAATTCCCTGAAGTTCCCCTCCCGCGGAAGCGCACGTCCTCATTCCTCAGCTGTGCTGTACCCACCTCCTGTAACTCCATTGGAGGACATATTTCATTCCTCTGTCCTGCCTGTATGGAGTAGGCTCCTGAATTGGCCCAGAATTTGGGGAGGAATGTTGGGTATTTCTTCCCATACTCATCATCAACAACTCATGTTTTTGTACCCACCCCTCAAATAATGATGATGGGTTTGACATGAGCTACTGAGGGTCTTAGCGATACTGGTAAAAGGATCTCCTTTCTAAAGAAAAAAAAATTTTTAGTTAACATATTATGTATAATAATAATAACAGGTATAAAATCATTCTATATAAATATAAAATTATTGAACATAAAATGATAGAAATATGAGTTTGAAATCACTATAAATTAAAAACTCAAAATCACCAAAACACGATAATTTTTATTTGTATTATTTATTTTTTTATTTTATTGAGACGGAGTCTCACTCTGTCACCCAGGCTGGAGTGCGGTGGCGCTATCTCGGCTCACTGCTACCTCTGCGGCCCAGGTTCAAGAGATTCTCGTGCCTCAGCCCCCCGAGTAGCTGGGACTACAGGCACGTGCCACCACGCTGGGCTAATTTTTGTATTTTTAGTAGAGACGGGGTTTCACCATGTTGGTCAAGCTGGTCTCGAACTCCTGACTTCGTCATCCGCCCACCTTGGCCTCCCAAAGTGCTGGGATTACAGGCGTGAGCCACCGTGCCTGGCCAATTTTTTTTTTTTTTTTTTTAATTTATTGAGACTGAGTCTCGCTCTGTCGCCCAGGCTGGAGTGCAGTGGCATGATCTCGGCTCACTGCAACATCCACCTCCTGGGTTCAAGCGATTCTCCTGCCTCAGCTTTCTGAGTAGCTGGGATTACAGGCATGTGCCACCACACCCGGCTGATTTTTGTATTTTTAGTAGGGATGGTGTTTCACCATGTTGGCCTGGCTGGTCTCGAACTCCTGAATTCAGGTGATCCACCTGTCTTGGCCTCCCAAAGTGCTGGGATTACAGTCGTGAGCCACCACACCCAGCCAGGTTCTCTAGTTTGAATGGCCCCTTCCACAAACAGGGTAGTCTGTGTGAAGGCTTACATTTTGAAAATAAGTCCTCCACTGCCTCTGCTCCAATACACACAGCCCTTCAGTTTGAGATAGAGAGATGTCCAGACAACCCAAGAACAACTTTGGCAGAGCCTGAGGAGGTCCATGTTGTAACTAACTGCTTTGTTTGCAGAGTCTCGGAGGCTTTAGATAATTTACTGTATAACTACTGAGCTTCTTGGGTTTTTTTTTTTTTGAGACAGAGTCTCCCTCTGTCACCCAGGCTGGAGTGCAGTGGCACGATCTCAGCTCACTGCAAGCTCTGCCTCCCGGGTTCAAGCGATTCTCCTGCTTCAGCTTCCCAAGTAGCTGGGACTACAGGCACGCATCGCCACACCAAGCTAATTTTTGTATTTTTAGTAGAGACAGGGTTTCACCATGTTGGCCAGGATGGTTTCGATCTCTTGACCTCGTGATCCGCCCGCAGAGTGCTGGGATTACAGGCCTGAGCCAGCAGGGGTTTCGTTTTTCACCTGGATAAATGCAACTTCCCTTTTTCTGCATCTCAATGCCTGGCCCTCCGCACTGCAGACACTCCTCCTGGAGCCTCTCCACACTGCAGGGCCATGACAAAGGCAGGGAGGCAGTCCCTCTGCTCAAGTACCAGAGGCTGAACCCGTCCCATGGCAAGGCCCATGCTTCTCCAGGACAATGCACTCTAGTTAGAGATGAGAGGCGTGACCTCCCAGCCTCTAGACCTGGTCCTTGGAGGGGCTTAGAAGATCCTAGCACTCCTTGTATTTTATAAAAAATCTTCTGTCTCCTCCTCATGTGCATGTGTTTTCCTGGAAAGAAGATCCACAGCTGTCATCAGATTCCCAAAGGAGCCTCTGAGTTGGTCATGAACTTCACTCTAGCTAATATAAGCAGAAGGGATCAACACTGCCCAAAGCCTGGCGCAGGTCTGGGCCTTTGAGAGAGCTCATGCCCCTGCCCAGCTTCAGGAGATCCTCGGCTGCCAGGAGGCAGTTATGGCCATGAATCCCTGCTCTCTGCTCCAGTCTGTCCCAGCAAAATGTAAGCCTCATCCTGCCAGCCCCCACCCCATCTGATTAGAAATTCAAGTCTTGCAGTGAGTTAGTGCATCTAAGAGGCTGAACCTACATCACCTCCAGACCCAGCTGCAGGGCCTTCTGGGAAATGTGGTTTTTAGCTTTGTCCACCTCCTTGGTACTGAAAAGAAAGCTGGATGCTGAAAAGCATAACCATGGCATCTGTCACCTGCTGTCAGTCACAATTTTACACCACTTAAAAATTAACCCCGGTCAGGCACCATGGCTCACGCCTGTAATCCCAATACTTTGGGAGGCCAAGGCAGGCAGATCACCTGAGGTCAGGAGTTCAAGACCAGCCTGACCAACATGGTGAAATCCCATATCTACTAAAAATACAAAAATTTTCCGGGCTTGATGGCACATGCCTGTAATTCCAGCTACTTGGAAAGCTGAAGCAGGAGAATCGCTTGAACCCGGGAGGCGGAGGTTGCAGTGAGCTGAGATTGCGCCACTGTACTCCAGTGTGGAGTGAGACTCTGTCTCAAAAAATAATAATAATAATAATAATTAAAAAACCCCACTGTTCCCTGATATCTGTTGCAATCCCTTTCTAATGGTAGAGCTGCTACATTACTGACTTTTACAGTGATTGTTTCACTGACACCTCCATTCAATGATCCTGCAAATCTGGGATGTGGCGTGAAGGATTCCATGGCTAAGCTAGGATCAAACCCAGGTCTGTCCAATTCCAAAAAGCCTGTGCTAAGCCCACTAGAGCTTCCTTGTGTGCTGCAGAGAATGTGCCCAAAATACCTTCTCCACTTCATCCTGACCCCTCAAATCAGCCATGCCCTGCCACCCCCACTTTGGCATGAAATAAACATTCTAGCTTGCTACAAATCCATTACTCAAGCAGTAGGTGGCCAGCAAAGACCAGAGGGAGCGCCCATAGCTTCTGCCAGCCTCTTCTCTAGGCACAGAAATTGCCACCTAAGTTGTCCTTAAACAAACAAGAATGCATTTTAACTAAGTATAAAGAATATGTATGTAGAGTGAGACTCTGTCTAAAAAAAAAAAAAACAAAAGTTTTTTCCAGCTTGTATTTTGAATTTGAATCCAAAATAAGACCCATCCACTGTAATTGGTTAATGTGTTTCCTTTTGTTTGTTTGTTTGAGACGTAGTCTCACTCTGTCACCCAGGCTGGAGTGCAGTGGTGCGATCTTAGCTCACTGCAACCTCCGCCTCTTGGGTTCAAGTGATTCTTGTGCCTCAGCCTCCCTAATAGCTGGGACTACAGGTGCATGCCACCACACCCGGGTAATTTTTGTGTTTTTAATGGAGACAGAGTTTCACCATGTTGCCCAGGCTGGTCTTGAACTCCTGGGCTCAAGCGATCCAACCACCTTGGCCTCCCAAACTTTGGGATTACAGGCGTGAACCCCCGCGCCCGGCCCAGTTAATGTATTTCTTAAAACCTTTTTTTTAGTTAAGATATAACTCACATATAAAAGTCACCCTTAAAAGTATACAATTCAGCCAGCCACAGTGGCTCATGCCTGTAATCCCAGCACTTTGGGAGGCCGAGGCGGGTACATCACCTGACGTTTGGAGTTTGAGACCAGCCTGGCCAACATGGTGAAACCCCATCTCTACTGAAAATACAAAAATTATCTGGGCATGGTGGCTCATGCCTCTAATCTCAGCTACTCGGGAGGCTGAGGCAGGAGAATCACTTGAACCCAGGTGGCAGAGGCTGCAGTGAGATCACGCCACTGCACTTATGTTTAGCATATTCAGAAGATTCTGCAACCATCACCCACTATCTAATTCCAGAACGTTTTCATCACCCCAGAATGAAATCTCTGTGTTCATTAGCAGTCACTCCCATTTCCCCCTCCTGCCCCCTAGCCCCTGGCAACCACTAATCTACTTCCTGACTCTTAATTCTCTTCTAACGTACAGGTTTCTCCCTCTCTCTCTTGCAATTTGTTTGTTGAGGAAACCTGTGGCGTTTTCACAGGTTCGCTTCATGACTGCCCTCAGTGGTGGTGTTTAAAGGGCTCCCTTCCTCGGCGTCTCCTGTAAGTGGGTGGTTGGGTCTGGAGTCTTGATCAGATTCCAGTTGTATCTTTTTTGGCCTTACTTTATAAATGGTATTTTGAACTTCGATGAAGAGGTACATAACGTCAGATTACCTCTTTTTGTGGTACTAACAGCTGTTAATAATTGTTGCCTAACTTTGTTAATTCATCAGGGGTTGCAAAACGGTGATGTTTTAATTCTATTTCTTCTTCATTTCGTAGGTGACATACTCTATAAACAGAAAGTTTCCTTCAGCGACTATTAAGTTACTGAGGTGCATGCAGTATGTTTAATAAAGGCAGAAAGGTTTGACTCTTTTGGTTTATTTACACTTATACAAATAATGAGTTGCTTGGGTTCCAAGCATTCCCCAAAACCGATCTGTGAGGGCTTTTGAGGGGGGCGGAGGGGGACAAAAATCAGATTTTTATAAACTACTCATTGTAAAACTCACTATACAAGTAGGAAAGGTAGAGTGGGTCCAGATTCTGGGGTCCTTTGCCCCTGGCAGGGCATCTGCATTGCAGCAGTAGGGGAGCCTGATTCATTCCTAATTGAGGCGTTGTTTGGTGGAAATGGTATTGAAGGAGGCGTGGAAAAGGCAGGCAAATGGCAGAGCAGACTTGGGTGGGGCGGGGTTAATACTCACAGCTCATGGAGCTCAGCCAGGTCAGTCAGGAACTGTCCTGTGATTTTTTTTTCCCCTTTCATGAGCTATGTGCAGGAATACCTTTTTTTTTTTTTTTTTGGAGACGGGTTTCCCTATGTTAGCCAGGCTGGTATCGAACTCCTGACCTCAAGTGATCCGCCCACCTTAGCCTCCCAAAGTGCTGGGATTACAGGCATGAGCCACCGTGCCTGGCCAGGAACACCTTTTTAAAAATTATTTTCATTATTATTTATTTATCTTGAGACGGAGTCTCACTCTGTCTCCCAGGCTGGAGTGCAGTGGCGTGATCTCGGCTCACTGCAACCTCCACTTCCCAGGTTCAAGCGATTCTCATGCCTCAGCCTCCCAAGTAGCTGGGATCACAGGCGCCCGCTACCACGCTGAGCTAATTTTTGTATTTTTAGTAGAGGCAGGGTTTCGCAATGTTGGCCAGGCTGGTCTTGAACTCCTGACCTCAGGTGATCTGCCTGCCTCGACCTCCCAAAGTGCTAGGATTACAGGCGTAAACCACTGTCTGGCCACCTTTTTTTTTTTTTTTAACTTTTTTTTTTAAATGTTGCTATAATTTAGAGACAAGCAGCTGGACAAGAATGGAAATGAAAGCAAAGAATACAACAGAGGAATCATTTTGAAGAACAATTCAGACACAACCAAGTGATTGACAGTGGATGGGAAACCTTGGAGAAGCCTCGTAAGGTTTCCGGCGAGGGGCAGAGGCGATGATCATTCCGTGAATCAAAACAGGGAAGTTGAGTGAGGGAGGCAGTTCTGAAAAAGAGAAGGAAAGGATGACAAGGTTGGTAGTGAAGAGGTTGCTTGAAGTTCCAGTGAGATACTCATGTGGAACTAGCTGGCTGAAGCCGTGGGGTAGGAGATGTATCAAGGACAGGCACATTTGTGTAGGCCAAGGGCTGGAGAAGGCAGAGAAAGGGAAGCAGAGTCAGGCAGAAGGGAGGAGCTTCATGTGAGAGTTGGGTTAAGGAGAAGAAGGACTCAGCAGCCACTGGGTTTGTCAAGACAGAACTGGTGACCCGAGAAAGCAGGGGGATTCAAAAAAACATTTTAAAGGGAACATCTACTGGATGTGCCCAGTGGCATTCGGAACCCATTTGTATCCACCTCCCGGATACAGAATAGGAGGCTGGCAGTGAGTGGAAGGCAAAGAGACGGCCACGGTGTTGGGAGGAATCACAGTTTTTCTTTTCTTTTTTTAAGATGAAATCTTGCTCTGTTGCCCAGGCTGGAGCGCAGTGGCGAGATCTCGGCTCACTGCAGCCTCCGCCTCCGGGGTTCAAGCAATTCTCCTGCCTCAGCCTCCCGAGTAGCTGTGACTACAGGCATGCACCACTATGAGTGGCTAATTTTTGTATTTTTAGCAGAGATGCGGTTTCACTACGTTGGCCAGGCTGGTCTCAAACTCCTGACCTCAAGCAATCCGCCCACCTTAGCCTCCCATAGTGCCGCGATTAAAGGCGTGAGCCACCGCGCCCAGCTGGAATCGTCGTTTTTCAAGACGGTTAAGATGGGTGCATGTTTTCAGATGGTGGGGAAAATTGATATAGAAGAGGTGAGGGGTTAAGTTTTGGGGGGGCCACTGGAGTCAGGGACCACCTAGTTACACAATGCAATCAAAATTAACCTGAGGGCCAGGCGCAGTGGCTCACGCCTATAATCCCAGCACTTTGGGAGGCCTGAGGCAGGAGGATCACTTGAGCCCAGGAGTCTGAGACCAACCCAGGCAACATGGCAAGAATTTATCTCCACAAAACCATAAAAAAAAAATTAGCTGATTGTGGAGGCACACGCTTGTTGTCCCAGCTATTTGTTAGCTGAGGTGGGAGAATTGTTTGAGCCCAGGAGGTAGAGGCTGCAGTGAGCCATAATCACACCACTCCACTGCACCCCCAGCCTGGGAGCAAGACACTGTCTCAGAAAACAAAACAAAACAATCAAAAAACACACTGTGGCTCACGCCTGTAATCCTAGCACTTTCAGAGGCCAAGGCTGGAGGATCACATGGGGCCAGGAGCTGGAGACCAGCCTGGCCAACATGGTGAAACCCCATCTCTACTAAAAATACAAAAATTAGCCAGGTGTGGTGGCACCCGCCTGTAATCCCAGCTACTCAGGAAGCTGAAGCAGGAGAATCGCTTGAACCTGGGAGGTGGAGGTTGCAGACAGCGGAGATCGCACCACTGCACTCCAGCCTGGGCCACAGAGAGAGATTCAGTCTTGAAAAAATGAAAAATAAAAATACAAAAAAAATTAAATTAACCGGGCGTGGTGGTGCACATGTAATCCCAGCTACTTGGGAGGCTGAGGCAGGAGAATTGCTTGAACCCGGGAGGTGGAGGTGGCAGTGAGTCGAGATCGTGCTACTGCACTCCAGCCTGGGAGGCACAGAGAGAATCTGGATATATATTACCAACATGAGTTATCCCTGGTAATGTATACCTTGTTCCCCTGGCTGAGGTGTGTTTGTCAGCTTTCTCTGCCGTAAAGTGGCTCTTTTTACTTACTCTCTCTCCCCATACTGTACTTTTTGGTGGAAGTTTGACCAGGACAGTTTTTCAATGGTATTTCTCTTCCACAGGCCTGACTTTTCCTTTGTCACGACAACACTCACATCTGTGAATATACCCACATCCTACGTTTGCCGCCACGAATACTTCTTTCCTTTATTATCTTATTTTCCTCTATCATCTTCTTTTCTTTTCCTTGTGTACAGCTTTCTCTTGAGTCTTGCCAGTTGGTCTGCATTAGATGGTGAATAAATATCCATAGGAAGCAAAAACTTGGCAAGTGGGTGTTGCTGGAGCATGGGAGACAAACAGTTCCCGTGACCTCAGGTGATGAGGCTGTGAGCTGCAAAGGGAGTTGTTTTAATTGTAATGCTATCGGCAGTGACACATGTAGCAGTTAATCACCACATCAATCCATCTATAGCATAATTATCATCTCAGTTAAAACATCAGAGCCTGCTGGCAAGTATCATTAAGTCTAAATTGGATGCCTGGGCAATGTTCTAATTACAATATTTGAATTTTTAAAGTGAACTCATGGAAAGATTAGCTTCATGCTGTAATTATTGATTTCCACCTATTGGACAGGAATATGCACAATGTACTCTTGAAGTAAATGATCACTCTCTCCTTATAGCACTAAGGTGGGCTTATTTATATGATTAATTAAAGTAATTACATCTTGCTTCTTATAATAAAATATATATTAGAATATATTCAATTCTAATTACATCGTACATTATATTATAGAAAATATTTTGTTTGAGCTCAGGAGTTCAAGCCCAGCCTGATCAACATGGTGAGGCCCCGTCTCTACTAAAAATGCAAAACTTAGGCTGGGCATGGTGGCTCACGCCTGTAATCCTAGCTCTTTGGGAGGCCGAGACAGGCGGTCAGGAGATCGAGACCATCCTGGCTAACATGGTGAGACCCCCATCTCTATTAAAAATACAAAAAATTAGCTGGGCGTTGGTGGTGGGCACCTGTAGTACCAGCTACTCGGGAGGCTGAGGCAGGAGAATGGCGTGAACCCAGGAGGTGGAGCTTGCAATGAGCCAAGATCGCACCACTGCACTCCAGCCTGGCGGACAGAGCGAGACTCCGTCTCAAAAAAAAAAAAAAAAAAAAAAAAAAAAAAGCCGGGTATGGTGGTGTGCATTTGTAATCCCAGCTACTCAGGAGGCTGAGACAGGAGAATTGCTTCAAATCAGTAGGCGCAGGTTGCAGTGAGCCGAGATGGCACCACTGCACTCCAGCCTGGGCGACAGAGTGAGACTCTGTCTCAAAAAAAAAGAAAGAAATTAAACTATAGGGAAGTCATCTTTTGATTAAAATAGAAAATGTAATCCTTGGCATTGGGCCTCTGCTTTTTTAGGCTCCTGCTGTACAGATTTGGGAAGCACTGGCTCTGGTGAACAGGGCAAGCCTGCTGAAAATGTGACCTTTTTGGCCTTGTATTAGGCCATTCTTGCGTTGCTATAAAGAAATACTGGCCAGGCGCGGTGGCTCACGCCTGTAATGCCAGCACTTTGGGAGGCCTAGGTGGGCGGATCACGAGGTCAGGAGATCGAGACCCTCCTGGCTAACACGGTGAAACACTGTCTCTACTAAAAATACAAAAATATAAAAAAATCAGCCGGGCGAGGTGGCGGGCGCCTGTAGTCCCAGCTACTGGGGAGGCTGAGGCAGGAGAATGGCATGAACCCGGGAGGCGGAGCTTGCAATGAGCCAAGATGGCGCCACTGCACTCCAGCCTGGGCGACGGAGCGAGACTCCGTCTCAAAAAAAAAAAAAAGAAATACTGGAGACTGGGTAATTTATAAGAAAAGAGGTTTAAGTGGTTCACAGTTCTGCAGGCTGTAGAGTAAGCGTAGCACTGCATCTGCTTCTGGGGAGGCCTCAGGAAGCTTCCAATCATGGCAGCAGGTGAAAGAGGAACAGATGTGTCACATGACAGGAGCGGGAGGAAGAGTAGGGGGGAGGTGCCATACTGTTAACCAGATTTCGAGTACTCACTCACTATCTTGAGGGCAGCAGCGAGCCATGAGGGATCTGCCTCCATGATCCAATCACCGCCCCACCAGGCCCCACCTCCAACATTGGTGATTACAATTCAACATGAGATTTGGAGCAGACATCCAAACGATATCAGGCCTCTATCCTAAGGGCCACAGTGCCACCGTGGATGACCAAGTGGGCTGTGCCCTGCATGACTCTCGGAGCCACCATTCCTGCAGAGTCTAGAATGTAGACTGGACTGAGACTCATGCCCTGGAGTTGTACTAGGTGGCTGTGGACCGCCCATAAATTATGTAGGTGAGGGCAGGTGCTATGGCACATGCCCGTAATCCCAGCACTTTGGGAGGCTGAGGCAGGCGGATCACTTGAGGTCAGAAGTTCTAGCACAGCCTGGCCAACATGACGAAACCCCATCTCTACTAAAAAAGACAAAAATTAGCTGGGTGTGGTGGCATATGCCTGTAATCACAGCTATCAGGAGGCTGAGGCATGAGAATTGCTTGAACCCAGGAGGTGGAGGCTGCAGTGAGCCAAGGTTGCACCACTACACTCCAGCCAGGGTGACAGAATTGAGACTCTGTCAAAAAAAAAAAAAAAAAAAAGGCTGGGTATGGTGGCTCACGCTTGTAATCCCAGCACTTTGGGAGGCCGAGTTGCGCGGATCAGGAGATCAGGAGATCAAGACCATCCTGGCTAACACGGTGAAACCGCATCTCTACTAAAAATACAAAAAATTAGCCGGGCTTGGTGGCGGGCGCCTGTAGTCCCAGCTACTCGGGAGGCTGAGGCGGGAGAATGGCATGAAAAAAACAAAGCTCATTTTAACGTCTTAGCCATTTTAAGTGTACCGTACATTCAGTGTTAAGTGCATTCACATTGTACATAATCAATCTCCAGAATGTTTTCATCTTGCAAAAACTGAAACTCCATACTCAAAAATAACAACTTCCCATTCTAAGCTCCTCTCCCCCACAATCCAGCTCCATGGTCACCACCATTCTGCTCCCTGTGTGTATGAATTTGAGAACTCTAGTATTCTAATGTGGAAACACACCACAGCTGGTTTATCCATTCATCCATAGAGGAGCATTTGGGGTTTCCACCCTGTGGCTGTTGTGGATACTGGTGCTAGGAACATCAGTGTAACAAATGTCTGCTCGATTATTCTCTTACTTTGAAAAAACTTTCAAAAAACTAGTTTGAGCCCAATAGGCCTGATTTGCTCTAACGCTGGGTCCTGGATCGCTGGTTGTTGGATCTGAATCATACTGCAGTTTGCTTTCTCCAGACTGGGTAAGGAGCCACTCTTGTTCTCCCTGCAGCCCACTTTTCTGTCACAGGTATTGATATTGATCAATATCTTGCATCCCGGCGGGGCGCAGTGGCTCACGCCTGTAATCCCAGCACTTTGGGAGGCCGAGGTGGGCGGATCACCTGAGGTTAGGAGTTCCAGACCAGCCTGGCCAACATGGTGAAACTCCGTCTCTACTTAAAATACAAAAATTAGCCGGGCTTGGTGGCGCACGTGCCTGTAATCCCACACACTAGGGAAGCCGAGGCAGAATTGCTTGAACTTGGGAGGCGGAGGTTGCAGTGAGCTGAGATGGCGCCACTGCACTCCAGCCTAGGCAACACAGCAAGACATATATATATATGTCTTGCTATATATATAAAAAACCCCTACGTGTCTTTGCCTCTCTGTGCGCCCCCCACACTTACCCTGATGCTTCTTATGTGAGGAGCGGGAACACCGGGCTTTCTTTTGTTCTCCTGCGTGAAGGCTCCCAGGGAGCCTCACCTTCTCTGGGACTTGCCTGGAGCCTCTGCGAGAGGCGAGTATCGGCACCACCAGGCCAGCCCCGAGCAGCATCTCCCATGGGCTGTCCAGGTTCGAGCCAGCGCTTGTCACCCTGTCTGCGTCCTGCAGGGGGCGCCAGAGGCCCAGCGGTCGTTCGGCCCTGTCAGCTGGTTGACACCGAGGGCCAGGATTGCGCTCGTTTTTAAGTATAATATTTTAGGAACGCCGTGACCCCACCCACCTTGGCTGACTGACTTGTGAGATATGACCAAAAACAATGAATCGACATGGAGAAATTGGAACGCTTGCACTCTGCTGGTGGGAACAGAAAATGGTGCAGCCGCTGTGGAAAACAGTCTGGCAGTTCCTCAAAAAATTAAAAATAGCATTGCCGGCTGGGCGCGGTGGCTCACGCCTGTAATGCCAGCACTTTGGGAGGTCGAGGTGGGCGGATCACGAGGTCAGGAGATTGAGACCATCCTGGCTAACACGGTGAAACCCCGTTTTTACTAAAAATACAAAAAATCAGCCAGGCGTGGTGGCGGGCGCCTGTAGTCCCAGCTACTCGGGAGGCTGAGGCAGGAGAATGGCGTGAACCCGGGAGGCGGAGCTTGCAGTGAGCCGAGATCGTGCCACTGCACTCCAGCCTGGGCGACAGAGCAAGACTCCGTCTCAAACAAACAAAAAATTAGCATTACCTTATTTATGATTCACCAATTCCACTTCTGGGTGTGAACCCGAAAGAATCTGGCCGGGCACGGTGGCTCAAGCCTGTAGTCTCAGTGCTTTGGGAGACTGAGGTGGGAACATAGCTTGAGCTCAGGAGTTCGAGACCAGCCTGGGCAACATAGTGAGACCCCCGTGTCTGCAAATAATTTTAAAACTTGGCTGGGCACGGTGGCTCATGCCTGTAATCCCAGCACTTTGGGAGGCCGAAGCGGGTGGATCACTTGAGGTCAGGATTTCGAGACCAGCCTGGCCAACATGGTGAAACCTCAAATCTACTAAAAATACAAAAATTAGCTGGGCATGGTGGCACATGCCTGTAGTTCCAGCTACTTCGGAGGCTGAGACAAGAGAATCACTTGAACCTGGGAGGCGGAGGTTGCAGTGAGCCATGATAGCACCGTTGCATTCTAGTCTGGGTGACAGAGCAAGACCTTGTCTCAAAAAAAAAAAAAAAAAAAAAAAGAAAAAAGAAAAAAAGACTTGAAAGCAGGGACTAGAAGGGAAGATATGTGTACACCTGTGTTCATAGCAGCATAGTTCACAATTAGCCATAAGGTAGAAGCAACCAAGTACCCATCGAGGGACATGAATGAGTAAACGCAATGTGGTATGTACAGTCATCTACAGTCGTCCCTCGGTATCTGTGGGCAGTGGTTCCAGGACCCCTGCTGGATCCCAAAATCCATGGTTGCTTAAGCCCCTCATAAGATGGTGTAGAATTGCCGGGCGTGGTGGCTCACACCTGTAATCCCAGCACTTTGGGAGCCTGAGGTGGGTGGATCACGTAAGGTCAGGAGTTCGAGACCAGCCTGGCCAACATGGTGAAACCGTTTCTACTAAAAATACAAAAATTAGCCGGGTGTGGTGGTGGGTGCCTGTAATCCCAGCTACTCAGGAGGCTGAGGCAGGAGAATCACTTGAATCCAGGAGGTGGAGGTTGCGGTGAGCCGCGATCACACCATTGTACTCCCAGCCTGGGTGACAAGAGCAAAACCTCCGTCTCAAAAAAAAAAAAAGATGTAGAATTTACATATAACCTATGCACATCCTCCCATATACTTATAAATCATCTCTAGATTACAAGTACAGATTTAGATAATACCTAATACGATGTACATGATATAGAAATAGTTATTATGCTGTATTCTTTAATGAATAATGACCCTGAAAAAGTCTATGTTCAGAACAGACAAAACTATCTATTTTTTCCCCCTAATATTTTCAGTCAGCGGTTGGTTGAATCCATGAATGTGGAACCTGCAGATGCGGAGGGCCAACTATCTTTTTTTTTTTTTTTGAGATGGAGTCTCATTCTGTCACCTAGGCTGGAGTGCAATGGCACAATGTGGGCTCATCGCAACCTCCGCCTTCCAGGTTCAAGCGAGTCTCCTGCCTCAGCCTCCAGAGCAGCTGGGATTACAGGCACCCACCACCATGCCTGAAAAATGTTTTCTATTTTTAGTAGAGACAGGGTTTCACCATTGGCAGGCTGGTCTCGAACTCCTGACCTCAAGTTATCCACCTGCTTTGACCTCCCGAAGTGCTGGGATTACAGACGTGAGCCACCGCATCTGACCCTAACTATCGTTTTAAAGGCACACTTGTCCCCCTCCCTGTTTCCTCCTAAAACAGCGAGCCGGCATCCCTGCCTCCTCCTAGGCGTTCTTATTTGGTGTAGGATGGTGATAAAGCCACCCCATTCCTTTCCTTACACAGAATCCCTCCCCTTTTGGGGTCGGCATTTTCTTGGACAATCAAATGTTCTTGGAGCTGCTGACTGCCTCAGGGATCTTTTTTTACAAGAAATAGTGGTGATCATGATTGGGCTACAACAGCTGCTGGGGTGGTCCTGATCCCTGGGGCCAGGACTGGGAGGACTGAGAAATGTGGCCAAGGCATCAAGGCTCAGGGGTCGCACCCTCAGCCATTCTTGAGACCCTCTCACCAGCAGCACAAGGCGATGCTGCCTCTCAGGCCCAGGGCGGCTGCCCAGGAATCAGCTTTCTGTGGCCGCTTTTCTTCCTTTTCCAGGAGGCCTTTGTTGTTAACCCTTTGGTGCATCAGGAAGTTGATCATTCCATTCCGTAGAGACGGAAGCAAACAAGGAAAGGAAAAAAATAACTCTGATGCTGAAACAATGTTGATGAAAGCTTAATTGAGAAGTTTCTTGGAGAGACTCCACCGAACAGAATCGGTTGAGCAGAAAATTGAAACAGACACAAACACTGTCTGTTTTGGATCGGACTGGTTTTTATTCTGGAGATAAAGTGCAGCAAGGATTGTGAATAAATATGAGGGCTGGGGGACACAGCGCTGTCAAGTTAACCGTTCTGTGCAAACGCAAAGCTGGCGGACAGGGGCCTCCTTGTTTGAGGACAACGGCCCCGACTGAGGCTCTGGGCTGACAGGAAACGCACCTATAGTCCCAGCTACTTGGGAGGCTGAAGCAGGAAAATTGCTTAAACCTGGGAAGTGGAGGTTGCAGTGAACCGAGATCGCACCACTGCACTCCAGCCTGGGCAACAGACTGAGATTCTGGCTCAAAAAAAAAAAAAAGTACATTCAGGCTGGGCACAGCGGCTAACGCCTGTAATGCCAGCACTTTGGGAGGCCAAGGCAGCAGGATAACTTGAGCCAAAGGAGTTGGAGACCAGCCTGGGCAATATAGTGAGACCCTGCCTCTACAAAAAAGGAAAAAAAATAACTGGATATGGTGGCATGTGTCTGTAGTCCCAGCTACTCAAGAGGCTAAGGTAGGAGGATTGCTTGAGCCCAGGAGTTTAGAGCTACAGTGAGCTATGATTGTGCTACTGTACTCCAACCTGGACAACACAGTAAGACCCTAAAAAGAAAAGGAGGGGGACATTTATGTAAGAATGCTTTCCCCCCAACATGAATATTTTGTAAAGTTAGCTTGTTTGATTGAAATACAAAATCAAATGGTAAAAAGCCAGTCAAATTTAGCAGTGGGGGGTTGTATACCAACTTTAGTGACACTAATGTTAATAAGTTCTGATAACCCACTACCATCGGACCAGCCAGAAAAACTGCTTTCACTTTCATTTTATAAATCTCTGAAGTGGCTACTCTAAATAAGTTAGGATGAGTTATTTTAAGAATTCTCCAAAAAGTCTGATATTATATGACCCCTACAAAATAATACTGCAAAAAGCCATACATTATCTGATTATCTTCCTTTAATTTTAAATAGCTTAATGCAAACTGATATTCAAAATAAATGTAGTTGCATGATGGGAAATAGACGTAAATTACCAAATGGAAGCCTCTTGTCCTTTGCAAATACCTGAAGACATTCATGAATCAAAGAAAAGTAAATGAACATATTTGTGTCAAATGCCCAGCAATAGAAACGTTGAACATTTAATGTCAACAAAATGAGCTTTGGTGTTTTTTTTTTTGTCGTCTCCCTGCCTGTGATCTGCAAAATGCCTTCCTGAATCAAGGCAGCAGCAGATGGCAGCAGTGCCCAGAGCATGCACTTTCCATCCACTTTCCCACGGAGCCTGGACCAGAGAACTCCTCACCCACGAACACACTGTTTTCACATCACCCACAAACACGCTGTATTCACATCACCCACGAACACGCTGTGTTCACACTGGTTGTTTCCTGGGACTTTTCCTGATAATCCTTAATAGTTCCTATAAATCACATGGGTACGCCAGGTTTAATATGCTCAGATCTCTCACCTTTCAGACAGGTTGCTGCTGGCATTGAGAAGTTGCCATAATCCTGAAAACAGCCTTTTACCAATGGTTTTATCAATGAAAGCCAAATCCCTCTCAATGATTAGATATAAGCACTCTCACTGAGTTTAGTAAGAAATCCCACATTAACCAGAAAAAAAAGGAATGAAAAGGATTAGAAAGTGATCAATAAACCTTAACTATTATTATCTTTGCCTATCAAATCTCAATTTTCCTGTTTTAAGTCATTCATATTTTAACATACCAAATGTTAAAGTATTAGGTTGGTGCAAAAGTAATTGTGGTTTTTGCCATTAGTTTTAATAATAATTGGAAGGTTTCAACTGACAGAAGAAAATGTATGTTCAAGATTATGATTAACTTGAATGCTTAGGAAATGTCACTTTCTTTCTTTCTTTTCTTTCTTTTTTTTTTTTTTGAGATGGAGTCTTGCCCTGTTGCCCAGGCTGGAGTGCAGTGGCCTGATCTCGGCTCACTGCAACCTCCTCCTAGGTTCAAGCCATTCTCCTGCCTCAGTCTCTCAAATAGCTGGGACTACAGGCACATGTCACCATGCCCGTCTAATTTTTGTATTTTTAGTAGAGACGGGGTTTCACTGTGTTTTCCAGGCTGATCTCGAACTCCTGACCTCAAATGATCCACTCTCCTCGGCCTCTCAAAGTGCTGGGATTACAGGCATGAGCCACCGCGCCTGGCTGGAAATGTTACTTTCTAAGGCATAACATTCCCCACCTTCATATGTATTGAGCTCAGCTAATCCCAGGAATTTTTTTAAAGTAATTGGAATGAGAATTATAATTGTTCTGGGACCTGGGCTTAGAGATGTGAAGGGCTGAGGCTTCCGGAGAGAGAGTGAAGAATACAGAAAAGACACAGTCCCTACCCTCAACTTGGTGATTGCTCCAGCAGTGATTAGGACAACTTTCCAAAGTAGACTAGCTGAGATTTCCTGGAGGGCTGGCCAGCTGCTCTGCCTCCCGGGTTCACGCCATTCTCCTGCCTCAGCCTCTGGAGTAGCTGGGACTACAGGCATCTGCCACCACGCCTGGCTAATTTTTTGTTTTTAGTAGAGACGGGTTTTCACCGTGTTAGCCAGGATGGTCTCAATCTCCTGACCTCATGATCTGCCCACCTCGGCCTCCCAAAGTGCTGGGATTACAGGCGTGAGCCACTGCGCCCAGCCACATCTCTTGTTAAAACATAAATAATCAACTTCTGTTTAACATGGTAGGCTGCCCACCAGCAATTGCCTCAATTCCTTTTGGAACCATTAAAATTAGACTGAAATAATAAAAAAGGAGCAGAGAAGAGAAAGAAGACACACTTGCATTCCTTCCTCTGCCCTGGAATGAGGTTTGGGGGTGTGGGGCTGGAGAGCCATCCTGAGACCACGAGAACAAAAGCCCTCACTTAGGAAGGCCTAAGAGAAAGAAAAAAAAGTCTTGGTGCATTGATGACAGGTGGGGCACTGCTCCAGTTCTGGACACGGCCCACCTCCATACTTTCTGCAACAAGAGGACACTAAATCTGCATGAGTTTAAGCCACTGTTACTGGGTTTCCTATGACACACAGCTCAACAGATTCCGAGCCATTAGAGAGAGTATAGAAAGTGTGAGATATGGACGGCTGGATCACTGGTGGGGTATGAGGAATTTTAGCTAGCACTGGATGTAAAGTTAGTAAAGTTCTTCAAGGAAGAACAATCTTAGTTTGACGATAATATGTCTTTAACACCTCCCATTTGTTAAGCTGCTTTTTTTTTTTTTTTTTTTTTTGAGACGGAGTCTTGCTCTTGCTCTGTCTCCCAGGCTGGAGTACAGTGGCATGATCTTGGCTCACTGCAACCTCCGCCTCCCAGGTTCAAGCAATTCTCATGCCTCAGGCTCCCAAGTAGCTGGGATTACAGGTGGGCACCACCACGCCCAGCTAATTTTTGTAATTTTTAGTAGAGACAGGGTTTCACCATATTGTCCAGGCTGGTCTCAAACTCCTGACCTCAGGTGATCTGCCCACCTCAGCCTCCCAAAGTGCTGGGATTACAGGCATGAGCCACCGTGCCTGGCCAAAAAAGTTGATTGTGGTTTCATGTGCATATACATTTGCCAAAAGTCATTGAACTGAATAATTAAAACGGGTACATTTTATTGTATACAAATTAAACTTCAATATGGATAAGAAGAAATAAATCTCTACTCAGGGGTGAAGAAAAAAAGAAATGAAAAAGAAGTAACTAATTAAAACAAGTTTATTTAAAGGAAATATTGTGTGAATAACTATTAAAGTCATCCTTGGATTTCACTAAGCATCTCAAATGGCCGAGGTGGAGAACTGAGTTCAGTGAGGGGTTGAACAGACACTGAGCTCAAGGTCCTAGAGGCGCATCCAGGAGAGGCCTTGGGGCTGGAGCTGGGTGCTGCTGAGAACCTGAGGGCAGACAGAAAGGAAGTGAATGCAAAGACCCCACAGTCTTGCTTTGGTCTACCTGGAAAAATCATCATTTTTTTAAGGAATTTGGGCCATTTGGCCATAGGGGTCATAGGTAAATACTTTCCATAAGTTAACTTGTACTTTTCTTCAAAACATGCTGGAAAACATTTCATGGCTTCCTGCTGCCTTCAAAGGATGTTAAAGTTCCTTGTTTCTCCGGCTCCTGTCTTCCACAGGCTCAGCTGTGCAGCCTGCCTCCACCCAGGCCTCTGTCATGACCCTCTGCCCTCCAGCCGGACCCCAGAACTGTCTGTAGTTCCCCAGTGAGTTACTCTCTTTGGCCCAGAGGCCTCTGTCCATGCTGCTGTCTCTCCCATCCATACCGATTATAACTAGAGCCCCTGTTGGCAAGGAAGGGGAGGGAAATGATTATTTTAGGGGAACCTGTCTGTGGACACAACAGGTCCACAAAATGCACAAAAGCTTTTTCAGTCAGCTCTGCTAAGCAGCTCTCTGACATGATATCTCCCTTTACAAACCTCTGTGCATGGGATATAAACATGTTTCCTCTAAAAAGCATAAGGAGGCCAGGCACAGTGGCTCACACTTACAATCCCAGCACTTTGGGAGGCCGAGGTAGGAGGATCACTTGAGCCCAGGAGTTCCAGACCAGCCTGGTACACGCCTGTAGTCCCAGATATTCATGCCCATCATGCCTGGCTAATTTTTGTATTTTTAGTAGAGACGGTATTTCACCATGTTGCCCAGGCTGGTCTTGAACTCCTGACCTCAGGTGATCCACCTGCCTTGGCCTCCCAAAGTGTTGGGATTATAGGCATAAGCCACCATGCCCAGCCCTCTTGGGTTTTTATGGAAGCCTCCTGATGTCAGCATGCCTTCCCTCAGTCTGGAATGAGAGAGTCTCATGACCCACAGTCATAAAGCTGAGGGAACGGGAGGGAGCAAAGAAAAAAAGTACCAGAAAAAAAACAGGAAAGGTGAGGGAAGATTGGAGTCCTGCCTTGGGGCAGGCGAAAGGAGGGCAGAAGGCCAGAGAAATTCTGTTTTCTGAGGCCTGCCCTTGAGGCCTGACGCTCCAGAAAGTGATAACGAAAGGCGGTCACAGGGCTCTGGGAGGTACTACCGGGTCGCACAGGGGATACAGCTGCACGGGGCTTAGGGATCATGGGCAGGCCCATCCCTGGCCCTCAGATCTCTGACTGAAACCAGGACAACAGGGGAAAAGAGTCACCTGTGTCCACCTGAGTAACCCAGGAGGGGACTGAGGCTCCAGGTGAACCAAGGAAGGCAGCGTTTTTTGTTTGTTTGTTTTTTGAGGTGGAGTCTCACTCTGTCGCCCAGGCTGGAGTGCAGTGGTGCAATCTCGGCTCACTGCAGCCTCTGCCTCCCAGGTTTAAGCGATTCTCCTGCCTCAGCCTCCCAAGTAGCTGGGATTACAGGCGCCCACCACCATGCCTGGCTAATTCTTGCATTTTTAGTAGACTCAGGGTTTCACCATGTTGGCCAGGCTGGTCTTCAACTCCTGACCTCAAGTGCCTGCCCTCTTCAGCCTCCCAAAGTGCTGGGAGTACAGGCGTCAGCCACTGTGCCCGGCTTTTTTTTTCTTTTGAGACTGAGTCTCTCTCTATGCCCCAGGCTGGAGTGCAGTGGTGTGATCTTGGCTCACTGCAACCTCCGCCTCCCAGGTTCAAGCGATTCTCCTACCTAAGCCTCCCAAGCAGCTGGGACTACAGGCACCCAGAAGGCAGCGGTTTTGTTCATCAAGGTTGTGGTTCTAAACGATGCATCTTTAAGCCGCCTAGGCCCACGACCTTCCCTCTTGACTTCACACCACATCTTTCTACAGCCTCAGCCAAACCCTATCCGGGTTCCCTAAAGATCTCTGAGCTTTCATCTCTCCCAAGAAGAGGCCCCAGGGCACACGCCAGCATGAGGTTCCCAAAAGCTGTCTATCAGATGTATCTCGTAGCATAGAGACTATAGGGGCCTCGCCCTTTGACATTTTTCTCTCAAAACCAGTAGTTTTAAAAATATTTTTAAAATCATTAAACTCACAGCCATAAAAAAAAAAACAAGATCATGTCTTTTGCAGGAACACGGATGGAGCTGGAGTCTATTATCCTTAGCAAACTCACACAGGAACAGAAAACCAAATACCGCATACTCTCACTTATAATTGGGAGCTAAATGATGAGAACTCATGAACACAAAGAAGGGAACAGCAGACACTGGGATCTGCTTGAGGGTGGAGGGGGAGGCAGGAGGAGCAGAAAAGACAACTGTTAGGTACTGGGCTTAATACCTGGGTGATGAAATAATCCGTACCACAAGCCCCTGTGACATGAGTTCATCTGTGTAACAAACCTTCACATGTACCCCCGAATCTAAAATAAAAGTTTAAAACAACAACAAAATAAATCATCACAAACTTAAAAACATCATTAAACTCTTTGGGATTCTGATGAAAGTTTTGTGTCTATGTGTACAAAATCATACACATTCACATATGTACAGACATCTTGTGTGTGGTTTTAGGGTGTGGTTCATGGACCACCTCCCCCAAACCTGACCGTAAACCCCAGATAAAGAAAATCTGGTGTACCAGCCTGGGCAACATATTAAGACCCCATCTCTATACAAAATTTAAAAATTAGCCTGGCCTGGTGTGTGCCTGGGGTCCCAGCTACTCCAGACACTGACGTGGGAGAATCACCTGAGCCCAGGGAGGTCGAGGCTGCAGTGAGCTATGATTGCACCTCTACACTCCAGCCTGGGTGACAGAGCAAGATCTGTCTCACACACACACACACACACACACAAACACACATGATTAAAAAAAAATCTGGTGTGGCTAACTGCAAAATACCATAAGTTTGTTGTCTTCTTTCATCCTTTTCTCTCTCTCTCCTTTTTTTTTTTTTTTTTTTTTTGAGACAGAGCCTCCCTCTTTTGCCCAGGCTGGAATGCAGGGGTGCAATCTCAGCTCACTGCAACCTCCACCACCCAGATTCGAGCAATTCTGCTGTCTCAGCCTCCCGAGTAGCTGGGATTACAGGCACTTGCCAGAACACCCTGCTAATTTTTTTGTATTTTTAGTAGACGGGGTTTCACCATGTTGATCAGGCTGGGCTCAAACTCCTGACCTCAAATGATCTGCCTACCTCGGCCTTCCAAAGTGCTGGGATTACAGGCGTGAGCTACTGGGCCCGGCCCTTTTATCCTTTTCTGTACCCCTTGGGAAGCAGTGCTCCTGCCTCCAAAATTACCCCTCACCCCAGTCATTGAAATCCATAGTCTCCCAGATTAAATAGCCAACAATAGGAGATGTATGAATTATATTTTTACCTAGCTATTTGAGAGATAGAAAGTTATATAGATTTAAAATTAAGGACTAAGAGTAGCACAATGGGGGAGGCCGAGGCGGGCGGATCACCTGAGGTCAGGAGTTCGAGACCAGCTTGACCAGTATGGTGAAACCTCGTCTCTACTAAAAATACAAAAATTAGCCAGGCGTGTTGGCACACACCTGTAGTCCCAGCTACTCAGGAGGTTGAGACAGGAGAATTGCTTGAACCCGGGTGGCAGAGGTTGCAGTGAGCCAAGATCTCACCATTGCATTCCAGCCTGGATGACAGAGCGAAACTCCATCTCAAAAAAAAGAGTAGCATAACAGAAAATTCATAAAATAGCCTAATGGAAAAAGTTCAGTGAGAAAACAAAAACAAAACAAGACCATACTGTGCTTGAAACTGTGGGAAAACTACACGGGAATAAGAGCAAAGAAAACTGAAAATCGGGCTGGGCACAGTGGCTCACGCCTGTAATCCCAGCACTTTGGGAGGCCAAGGCGGGTGGCTCTGTGCTCCCCGCCTGCCGCCTTCTTCACCTGGGCCCCTGCGGCTGCCTAGGGCTGTTTCCATAGCTGCATGGCAGGTTCCAGGGGGAGCCTCTGGGAAGGGAACCCCACGTGCTCATCTTCCTGGAGAAGGGGGTGGTGTAAGCCCACAGATTCATCTGTGAATGAAACCCCATCTCTACTAAAAATACAAAAATTAGCCTGGCGTGGTGATAGGCGCCTGTAATCCTAGCTACTCGGGAGGCTGAGGCAGGAGAATCGCTTGAACTCAGGAGGTGGAGGTTGCAATGAGCTGAGATCGTGCCGCTGCACTCCAGCCTGGGTGACAAGAGCGAGACTCCGTCTCAAACAAACAAACAAACAAAAAACAAACACCCGGCGCGGTGGCTCATGCCTGTAATCCCAGCACTTTGGGAGGCCGAGGCGGGCGGATCATGAGGTCAGGAGATCGAGACCAAGGTGAAACCCCCTCTCTACTAAAAATACAAAAAAATTAGCTGGGCGTGGTGGCGGGCGCCTGTATTCCCAGCTACTCGGGAGGCTGAGGCAGGAGACTGGCATGAACTCGGGAGGCGGAGCTTGCAGTGAGCCGAGGTCGCGCCACTGCACTCCAACCTGGGCAACAGAGCAAGACTCCATCTCAAAACAACAACAACAACAACAACAAAGAAACCCCTGAAAATCAGAAGTTTGATGTTTAGGATAGTGTCTGCTTTCTCTTTGTGTATATATCCTCCAATACCAGATTGTGTTGTGGTGCGATTTGTGTCAGAAAACTCAATTTCCTCATTGCAGCCAACTCAGCCAATTAGAATAAAAGCAGCAGAGTGGACACCTTCCCATAGAGCGTAAATAACGTTGTGTAAACACCTACGTCTGATTGGAATAAAATTTCCAAACCGTAAAGGAACCTGAAGAGAGACTTCGTTTAAGCACGCAGAGCATCTCAGGCCTCTCCTGCAAAGCTGAACCCGGGTGGTTCTTAACATGGCTTTCCAGCTGGAAAAGGGGGAAAATTGACTTAAACACTCTCCCAATGTTCCTTCCAAGTTAATGAACCCTCCTCTTGGCACAGCTTGGCTTTTGAAGATGGCACTTGTTATTCACAGACAAGGATGCTAAGGCAGTTGGACACCGGGGCCATCAGCCTGGGACGTGGCACCAGAAGGGCAGCCTTGTGCCCAAGGTGGGTGATGGGACGCGGCCGCGTCCCACAGCTGGGAAGGGCCTGGCAGAATCTGTGGGCTTACACCACCCCCTTCTCCAGGAAGATGAGCACGTGGGGTTCCCTTCCCAGAGGCTCCCCCTGGAACCTGCCATGCAGCTATGGAAACAGCCCCAGGCAGCCGCAGGGGCCCAGGTGAAGAAGGCGGCAGGCGGGGAGCACAGAACCATAAACCACATGGGAACAGGCGGCCTTTCTGTCTGGTCTTTGGATCAGGCCCTGAGGGAGGGGATAGGCTGTGCCCACCGCTCCCCACAGCCCTGTGGCATTCTGCAAGGTGGCCACTCCAAACCCTGCAACAAGAAGGCTTTGTGTGTTTTGGTTTTGGCAGGTTGACCCGGCAGGGACTTCTTTCTTTTTAAAAATCTTTTTTCTTTCTCTTCTGTACTTGTCTCTTTCTTTCTGCTCAGACCTGCTGCTTCATGCCTGACGCACCAGCTCCTCTGGTCTGGCTCCCAGCTTGCAGGCAGCAGCCGCGGTGAGGGCCACAGGCAGGGAAGGGCCTGGGCCTGGCTTCCAGGGGCTGGTTTTGGTCGCTAAGCTGCAACTGCTCACTGTGCATGAGCCAGTTCTCCTCTTTGGGTCTCATTTTCCTCCTCTGTAGAACAGGAATAAGAGTCTCACATAGGCCCAAGTGAGCCTGGAGAGGGAACACACACGGGGCCCAGCAGGTTATAAGTCGATGCCCATCGCGGTGCCCACTATTCCAACTCTTGGCTTGGCTACAACATGTATTTCTCTTTCTCTGTTACTCTTCAAAGCTTGCTGTAAAAGCACCTTGTTTGAAGGCTGTCAGTGAGTTTGTTCTCGGTCTCTGTCTCTCTCTATATATATACATATTTTATATATATATATAATTATTATTATTTTGAGATGGAGTCTCACTATGTTCCCCAGGCTGGCCTTGAACTCCTGGGCTCCAATGATCCTCTCGCCTTGGCCTCCAAAAGTGTTGGAATTAGAGGCGGGAGCCACGGTGCCCAGCCAGTGAGTACCACATTATTAAGAGTCTTCACTTGAAGTTTTATTGCCTTTTTTTCTTTATGTAAAAACTGAGTTCCAAGAGCAATCCTTTATTGCTCTCTCAGGACATTCACGGGGTAGGTGAAGAGCAAGGCCTCAGGGCTGCAAGTGGAAGCATGAGAGTAGGTCCTAATCTCAGGCAAGAGAGGTAAGGAAGTCAGGTGCGCAGAGCCTGGTGCAGTGGAGCAGAGTTGGTAGATGAGATGCCCCGATTGGCCAGGGCTGGGGAAACTGACTTGAGAATACATTTGAGAATTCAGCAGCAGGCAGAGGTCTAAGGCCACCCTGCCTGGTACCTTGGGCTCTTGAATTGGGTACAAGGTCCTTATCTTTTCCTAAAATCCTCACAAGCAGAGTCAAATGATATTATTTAAAAACATTTTGTTTATACCAGAATAATTTACAATATAGAAAATATCATGCCTATGAAATAAAGAGCAAACAATAATAATAATCATTGTAATAGATAGCATTAATTTTAGCTACCACTGATCTGGGACTGTACCAAGTACAGTCGTTCATCCTCCTAATGATTCTATGAGGTAGTACTATTATTACATCTATTTTAATAATGAGAAAACCAAGCCTCAAAAGAGTGACTTGGGCATGATCATGGTGCTAATAAGTGGTAGACATGGAATCTGATGAGCTGTGGCTTGCTCAGCTCCAGCTGCTGTAACAAATAATCATTGACTGGGTGGCTTAGACAACAAACATTTATTTCTCACAGTTCTGAAGGCTGGCAAGTCCAAGTTCAAGGCACTGACTGATTTGGATCCTGGTGAGGACTTTATTCCTGGTTTGCAGACAGCCACCTCCTTACTGTGTCCTCACACGGCAGAGAGATCATCTCTTTGTGCCTGTTCATAAAAGGGCACGATCATCATTATGTGAGGGTCCACCCTCATGACCTAATCATCTCCCAAGGACCTCATCTCCAAATGCCATCACACTGGGCGTTAGGGTTTCAACATACACATTTGGGGAGGACACAAACATTCGGTCCATAGGAAGGTGGCAGCAGGCTTTTGGTTTCAGTATGTCAATCTTCCCTTGGCACTTAGGATTTTTCTCCTGTATCTACACATGTGGCATTTGGACCGACACCTGCAGTTAAGTCATTGAATCCTGACAGCATTTATGAAATGTATTTCTCATTTAGTCAAGAATATCCATGGGGTCGGGGGAAGTGGGGGATGGTTAATGGGTACAAAAATGTAGTTAGATAGAATGAGTAATATCTAGTATTTGATAGCACAGCAGGGTGACTACAGTCAACAATATAATTTATTGTACATTGAAAATAACTAAAAGTATAATTGGCTCGTTTGTAGCATAAAGGATAAATGCTTGAGGTGGTGGATACCCTGTTTACCCTGATGTAATTTTTATGCAGTGTATGCCTGCATCGAGGTATCTCGGCTGGGCACAGTGGCTCATGCCTGTAATCCCAGCATTTTGGGAGGCCGAGGTGGACGGATCATCTGAGGTCAGGAGTTCGAGACCAGCCTGGTCAACATGGCAAAACCCCGTCTCTACTAAATACGCAAAAAATTAGCCGGGCATGGTGGCGGGTGCCTATAATCCCAGCAACTCGGGAGGCTGAGGCAGGAGAATCACTTGAACCCAACCAAAAGGCAGAGATTGCAGTAAGCTGAGATCACATCATTGTACTATGTATCCCATAAATATATACACAGAGTATACAGTATGTACCCACAAAAATTAAAAATTAAAAAAAGGAATCTCCATTGTATCTTCCTGCTGTGCTCAGGAAGCTGCGGCATTGTGGCCTCACCCCTGCCTAGATTGTTCTGTTTCTTACTCTCCTGGAGGAGGGAAATAGCTATGACACATTGCTCCAAGGAAAGAAATGCTAAAGCAGGTAATGTTGCCAGATCAGCTCTCTACCGCTTGATGAAGTGACTATTTGTGGCCTTACAGAGACCATTGCTCCCTGCTATACGAGTCTCTCTATCCTCCTCACCTCCTCCAGTCTTCTGCTAACCAACCTGCCAGGGATGAGCACATCCTGCAGAGCCTGAGACCAGCATAAGCCAGTGACATGGATTTCCTATCAGCAACTGACACCCCAAAGTTGCATATGTTCTTTTCTTAGAAACATATTCTTGGCTGGGCATGGTAGCTCACAGCTATAACTCCAGCACTTTGGGAGGCTGAGGAGGGCGTAGTCCCAGCTACTCGGGAGGTTGAGGGAGGAGAATCACTTGAACCCGGGAGGTGGAGGCTGCAATGAGCTGAGATCGTGCCACTGCACTCCAGCCTGGGTGACAGAGCAACTCCATCTCAAAAAAAAAAAAAAAGATAATGTATGTATTATAGGCCAGGCACAGTGGCTCACATCTGTAATCCCAGCACTTTCGGAGGCTGAGATGGAAGAATCTCTTGAGGCTAGGAGTTCAAGACCAGGCTGGGCAACATAGAGAGACCCCCATCTCTTAAAAAAAAAAACAAAAAACAAAAAAACAAAAAACTGATAATATATGTATTATATACAATAAAATGTTACATTAAAAAGATATTTTAGGCCAGTGCAGTGGCTCACACCTGTAGTCCCAACACTTTGCGAGGCCGAGGTGGCTGGATCACGAGGTCAGGAGTTTGAGACCAGCCTGGCCAACATAGTGAAACTCCATCTTTACTAAAAAAATACAAAAATTAGCTGGGCGTGGTGGAGGGTGCCAGTAATCACAGCTGCTTGGGAGGCTGAGGCAGGAGAATTGATTGAGCCCAGGAGGCGGAGGTTGCAGTGAGCCAAGATTGCACCATTGCACTCCAGCCTGGGCGAGAGAGCAAGACTCCGTCTCAAAAAAAAAAAAAAGATATTTTAAAATTCCTTAAATCGATTTATTATCTCAATTTTATCCAACCTTCTGTATGTTGTTTTGAAGAAAACAATTTTTTTCAATGTGATTTTACAGCATACTTTGGTGTTACTTTGTGGTTCTTTAGAGAGAAACACAGTGGCAGGAAAATCGCATTATTTACTAGGCTACTTGAGGACAGAGGCTGTTTCTCTTGTTTTCCTTGCTAGTGCGCTTTGCCAATAGCGGCGGCCAGTAAATATTTGTTGACAATCTTCTTGTGAAAGTGACTGGTGTTTTGCTTCCATGTAAAGGAATAGAAAGGGGATGAGAACCCAAGTGTTAGGACATGGATACCTGGAACCCTTTTTGAATTCAGATTCTTAGGGCTTAAAACATCTGCATTTGAGTCAAACAAGTCCCTGAGTGCAATTATTTATATTAAGTAACACACAAATATATAGATACAAAATCAAATAACCATTTTTTAATCATAGTGTTCAGTAAGTAGTTTGAAAACTCATCAAAATGGTCAAGGTCACTACCAATCCTCAATCCTGCTGAGTTTCATCAGTATTCCTAGTAGTTTGGAATCTTTTGAAGGTTGGATACAGCAACTCAGAGATAAAGAGATCGAGCCTCTTCTGGTGTTCACATGATTCCTGAAGTCAACCTAGATCTTGCATATAGTTGATAACATGGGTCCTTGTTTTTATTTTTTTATTTTATTTTAATTTTTTATGGTTTTGTTTTGACTTGAGACAGACTCTTGCTCTGTTGCCGAGTGGAGGGCACTGGCATTGTGTCCGGAATTGGTGGGTTCTTGGTCTCACTGACATCAAGAATGAAGCTGCGGACCCTCGCGGTGAGTGTTACAGCTCTTAAGGTGGCGCCTCTGGAGTTAGTCCCTTCTGATGTTCAGATGTGTTTGGAGTTTCTTCCTTCTGGTGGGTTCGTGGTCTCACTGGCTCAGGAGTGAAGCTGCAGACCTTCACGGTGAATGTTACTGCTTTTAAGGCAGCGTGTCTGGAGTTGTTCATTTCTCCCGGTTGGCTTGTGGTCTCGCTGGACTCAGGAGTGAAGTTGCAGATCTTCGCGGTGAGTGTTACAGCTCATAAAAGCAGCGTGGACCCAAAGGGCGAGCAGTAGCAAGATTTATTGCAAAGAGTGAAAGAACAAAGCTTCCACAGCGTGGAAGGGGACCCGAGCAGGTTGCCACTGCTGGCTGGGCAGCCTGCTTTTATTCTCTTATCTGGCCCCACCCACATCCTGCTGATTGGTAGAGCCGAGTGGCCTGTTTTGTCAGGGTGCTGATTGGTGCATTTACAATCCCTGAGCTAGATACAAAGGTTTTCCACGTCCCCATCAGATTAGTTAGATACAGAGTTTCCACACACAGGTTCTCCAAGGCCCCACCAGAGCAGCTAGATACAGAGTGTCGATTGGTGCATTTACAAACCTTGAGCTAAACACAGGGTGCTGATTGGTGTGTTTCCAAACCTTGAGCTAGATACAGAGTGCCGATTGGTGTATTTACAATCCCTGAGCTAGACATAAAGGTTCTCCATGTCCTCACCAGAGCAGCTAGATACAGAGTGTCGATTGGTGCACTCACAAACCTTGAGCTAAACACAGGGTGCTGATTGGTGTATTTACAATCCCTGAGCTAGATATAAAGACTCTCCACGTCCCCACCAGACTCAGGAGCCCAGCTGGCTTCACCTAGTGGATCCCGCACCGGGGCTGCAGGTGGAGCTGCCCGCCAGTCCTGCGCCGTGCGCTCGCATTCCTCAGCCCTTGGGTGGTCGATGGGACTGGGTGCCGTGGAGCAGGGGGTGGTGCTCGTTGGGGAGGCTGGGGCCGCACAGGAGCCCATGGAGTGGGTGGGAGGCTCAGGCATGGCGGGCTGCAGGTCCCGAGCCCTGCCCTGCGGGAAGGCAGCTAAGGCCCAGCGAGAAATCGAGCACAGCGCCGGTGGGCCGGCACTGCTGGGGGACTCAGTACACCCTCCGCAGTCACTGGCCCGGGTGCTAAGTCCCCCATTGCCTGGGGCCAGCAGGGCTGGCTGGCTGCTCCGAGTGCGGGGCCCACCAAGCCCACGCCCACCCGGAACTCCAGCTGGCCCGCAAGCGCCGCACGCAGCCCCGGTTCCCGCTCGTGCCTCTCCCTCCACACCTCCCTGCAAGCTGAGGGAGTGGGCTCTGGCCTTGGCCAGCCCAGAAAGGGGCTCCCACAGTGCAGTGGGGGGCTGAAGGGCTCATCAAATGCCACCAAAGTGGGAGCCCAGGCAAGGGAGGTGCCGAGAGCGAGCGAGGGCTCTGAGGACTGCCAGCATGCTGTCACCTCTCAGCATGATCTCGGCTCACTGCAACCTCCGCCTCCTGATTTCAAGCGATGCTCCTGCCTCAGCCTCCCGAGTAGCTGGGATTACAGATGTGCACCACCACACCCGGCTAATTTTTTGTATTTTTAGTAGAGACGGGGTTTCACCATGTTGGTCAGGCTGGTCTTGAACTCCTGACCTCAAGTGGTCCACCCACCTTGGCCTCCCAAAGTGCTGGCATTACAGGCGTGAGCTACCACACCCAGCTTAATTTTTATGTTTTGTTGTTGTTGTTGTTGTTGTTTGAGATGGAGTCTAGCTAGCTCTGTCACCCAGGCTGGAGTGCAGTGGTGCAATCTCGGTTCACTGTAACCTCCGTCTCCTGGGTGCAAGCAATTCTCCTGCCTTAGCCTCCCTAGTAGCTGGGACTACAGTTGCCTGCCACCATACCCAGCTAATTTTTGTATTTTTAGTAAAGACAGGGTTTCATCATGTTGGCCAGGCTGGTCTTGAACTCCTGACCTCAAGTGATCCTCTCACCTCCGCCTCCCAAAGTGCTAGGATTACAGGGGTGAGCCACCACCCCAGCCTGGGTTCTTGTTTTTAAAACAAGCAACTCCTATGTAGAAGGCATTGAGGCTAATGAAACGAATACAATTGCATACCCACTACTAAAGAAGTTATTATCTATTTGGGGATATAAGACACATTTGCAAATTATTAGGAAACAGCAAAGGATATGCTAAATGGCAACACACAAAAAAGGAATAAACAAGACTCTTTCGTGGTTTCCAGAACAGAGAGCAGACCCAAGGGAGGGGGTCCAGTCCCATGAAACTGTGGAACAGCAAGGATCTGTCTATTGGTTAGAGCCAGAAGGGATAGACTCAGCTGGACACCCTTACAAGCAGCAGAAGAAAGTCAAACGAGGTTTAGCAGTCAAGGAACCCTCTAAAGTAACTCAGTAGTTCTCTTGAGGTCTCTGGCAGGGTAACAAAGGCAGTGGCTTCCATAAGGGCCAGCCTTCAAATCTGGCATGGGCTCTGATCGAATTGCCCTTGGGCATAGCAGCAGCAGGGGTTAGCTGAAGGAGTGGAAAGTTCTAGTCGAAGTCTGATATATTACTAACTAAAAAAAAAAAAAAAAAAAAAAAAAAAAAAGTCAGGCTTTACATGAACAGCAAATTCTTAATTTGCTCCTTCGAGCTTGTGCCTTTCCTAGATCTGGCCAAAGATGGTTGCTCTGATTAATTTTACCTTCTCTTACAGGAGAATGTATGAACAAACAATATCAATTTCATGTTTCACACACTTTCCTAACCCATCTATTTGAAATATTATCTGAATAGAGGTGAAATTTTATTACAATGAATATTAAGGAACTGTTTTTGTCTAGAACTTATTATTGTATGAGATATATAACTAGAAAACAAAGTGAACAAACACAGAAGCAAGTTAGTTTTGTAGTAAAGTGCAAAGTCCCAGAAGCCAGACTGCCTGGATTAGATTCCTACTGTGCCACGTACTTGCTGTGTGCCCGTGGGCCACTCCTCTACCTCAGTTTCCTCAGCTGTAAAACAGGCATAATGGCACCTACCACATAGAGTTATCATCAGTAGGAAGTGTTATATTTTTGTTAGATACTAAATAAATAAACACAGCACAACTCATTCATTGAGGAATTGGTGCATTCAATATCCAAAGTAAATACTCTATTATCCATTTCAAAATAATCGCTTGGAAAAATTACTCCAAGGATACAGCCATTGATCAAAATGTATTCAAAATCTTGGGATACAAAGCTAACCAGGCGGCCTGCGCTGTAGTCCCAACTACTCTGAAGGTTGAGGTGGGAGGATCACTTGAACCCAGAAGTTCGAGGCTGCAGTGAGCCGAGATCGCATCACTGCACTCCAGCCTGGGTGACAAAATGAGACCCTGTCTCAAAACAAAGCAAAATAAAAACTTGGAGCCCAAGGCAGGAGGATCAATTGAGGCCAGAATTTTGAGATCCCAATATATATACATATTTTTTTGAGACGGAGTCTCACTCTGTCACCCAGGGTGGAGTGCAATGGTGTGATCTCAACTCACTGCCACCTCCACCTCCTCGGTTCGAGCAATTCTCCTGCCTCAGTCTCCTGAGTAGCTGGGATTACAAGTGCGCGCCACCACGTCAAGCTAATTTTTGTATTTTTAGTAGAGGAGGGGTTTCACATATTGTCCAGGCTGGTCTCGAACTCCTGACCTCATGATCCGCCCACCTTGGCCTCCCAACATGTTGGGATTACAGGCGTAAGCCACTGTGCCCAGCCACAAAAATATTTTTATTTTCTTTTTTTCCCCAGATACTTCAGAGATGGATACGAAAAATTTTTGTTTGTTTTTTGAGACAAGGTCTCGCTCTGTTGCCCAGGCTGGAGTGCAGTGGCACGATCTCGGCTCATGGCAACCTCCGCCTCCCAGGTTCAAGTGATTCTTCTGCCTCAGCCTCTCGAGTAGCTGGGACTACAGATGCGCACCACCACGCCCTGCTAATTTTTGTATTTTTAATAGAGATGAGGTTTCACCATATTGGCCAGGCTGGTCTCAAACTCCTGACCTCGTGATGTGCCCTCCTCGGCCTCTTTCCAAAGTGCTGGGGTTTACAGGCTTGAGCCACCGTGCCTGGCCTCGAAAATATTTTTTAAAAATTATCCAGGCATGGTGGCACGTGCCTGTAGTCCCAGTGACTTGGAAGGCTGAGGTGGGAGGATCATTTGAGCCCAGGGGTTCGAGGCTGCAGTGAGCCATGAGTGCATGCCACTGCACTCCAGGCTGGGTGACAGAGTGAGATTGCAACTCAAAGGTAAATAAAATAAAATAATAAATAAAACCAAATGAGTTTGTCTTCAGAAGCCGTGGAATATTCTTTTTGGTATCTCTGGGGCAGCAAATTTTCCTCTTTTGAAGATAGATTTGCTTTTTAAAACGGTCCAGAGTCCATCAAAGTCAAGGACGTTGAATATGATAACGCAATGGGAAGCACTGTCTTGGCAAAAATGAAGTGATGTAAAATAACACGACCCATTTTCTTGCATGGGTCACACTTCAACTTTGAAGGAGACTTTCAAAACAGAAGGGTTCCAAATATGCTTCAGCAATGGCAGCACTTCTTGGTAAAGTGCATGTATTAGTTATTGATGGCTGCATAACAAACAAACCCAACACTTAACAACTAACATTGATTTCCTCACACTAGCTGTGGGTCAGGAATCTGGCCACAGTTAGCTGGGTGCTCAGGCTCAGGGTCTCCCACAGGCTTGAAATGAAGGTGTGGTCCACGGTTGTGGTCATCTCAAGGCTCAGTTGGGGAGAGATTGGCCGCAAGCCCTCTCACAGTGCTCAGGGCCTCCCTGGCTGTTGGCTGCATATATAGCTCTTTGCCTCTGTAGGGCTGTTCAGTACGTGACAGCTGGCTTTCCCCGGCAAAGGAGAGAGGCACTTTACTTTTGTCTTATTCTATTCCTTAGAAATGAGTCAGTAAGTTCAGATTACACTCAGGAAGAGGGAATTACACAAGGGCACAAAAAAATTAGTGCCAGGAGGCAGGATCCTTGCAGAGTTCCCTGAAATGCAAGGGATGATAGCATTCATTTCAACAAGATATCTTTCTCTCTCTCTCTCTCTCTATGGTTGTTTTTACGTTTTTCATGTTCTGTAAGGATGCTACTTTTTTCCTTATATTATATACACAATATATAATATATATCATATCATATACACAATATATAATATACCATATCATATATACTATATAATATATATCATATCATATACACAATATATAATATATATCATATCATATACACTATATGTAATATATCATATCATATACACTATATAATATCTATCATATACATTATATATAATATCTATCATATACATTATATATAATATCTATCATATACATTATATATAATCTATCATATACATTATATAATCTATCATACATTATACATATCTATCATATACATTATACATAATATCTATCGTATACATTATACATAATATCTATCATATACATTATACATAATATCTATCATATACATTATACATATCTATCATATACATTATACATAATATCTATTATATACATTATACATAATATCTATATTATACTATATACATAATATATGTTATATACATATGTTATATACATAGTATATGTTATGTTATATACATAATATATGTTATATTATATACATAATATATACATAATATATGTTATATTATATACATAATATATACATAATATATGTTATATTATATACATAATATATACATAATATATGTTATATTATATACATAATATATACATAATATATGTTATATTATATACATAATATATACATAATATATGTTATATTATATACATAATATATACATAATATATGTTATATTATATACATAATATATACATAATATATGTTATATTATATACATAATATATACATAATATATGTTATATTATATACATAATATATACATAATATATGTTATATTATATACATAATATATACATAATATATGTTATATTATATACATAATATATACATAATATATGTTATATACATAATATATACATAATATATGTTATATTATATACATAATATATACATAATATATGTTATATTATATACATAATATATACATAATATATGTTATATACATAATATATACATAATATATGTTATATTATATACATAATATATACATAATATATGTTATATTTACATAATATATACATAATATATGTTATATTATATACATAATATATACATAATATATGTTATATTATATACATAATATATACATAATATATGTTATATTATATACATAATATATACATAATATATGTTATATTATATACATAATATATACATAATATATGTTATATTATATACATAATATATACATAATATATGTTATATTATATACATAATATATACATAATATATGTTATATTATATACATAATATATACATAATATATGTTATATTATATACATAATATATACATAATATATGTTATATTATATACATAATATATACATAATATATGATATATTATATACATAATATATACATAATATATGATATATTATATATTTTTGAGATGGAGTCTTATTCTGTCGCCCAGGTTGGAGTGCAGTGGCACAATCTTGGCTCACTGCAACCTGCGCCTCCCAGGTTCAAGCAATTCTCCTGCCTCAGCCTCCCAAGTAGCTGGGATTGCAGGTGACTGTCACCACTCCCGGGTAATTTTTGTATTTTTAGTAGAGACGGGGTTTCGCTATGTTGGCCGGGCTGGTCTAGAACTCCTGACCTCATGATCCGCCCACCTTGGCCTTCCAAAGTGCTGGGATTACAGGCTTGAGCCACCGCACCCGGCCGAATTTTTGTATTTTTAGTAGATACCAGGGTTTTACCACGTTGGCCAGGCTGGTCTCAAACTTCTGACCTCAAGTGATCCGCCCACCTCAGCATCCCAAAGTGCTGGGATTACAGGTATGAGCCACCGCACTCAGTGATATATATTTTTTCATAAAAAATTATTTCACTCTAAAACCTGATCTTACTCATTGTCACTCTTGGGTTTGAGTCATAGGTTGAAATTATATATACAAAAGCTAAGTTCTGGTCCATTTCCTTCACGGTGGACCTCATTTCTAATTATTTGTCACCTGAAGTGGATATTGAAGTGCCTATCACATTTAGCACATTGAACAAGATTCTGGGCCGGGCGCGGTGGCTCACGCCTGTAATCCCAGCACTTTGGGAGGCCGAGGCGGGTGGATCATGAGGTCAGGAGATCGAGACCATCCTGGCTAACAAGGTGAAACCCCGTCTCTACTAAAAATACAAAAAATTAGCCGGGTGCGGTGGTGGGCGCCTGTAGTCCCAGCTACTCGGGAGGCTGAGGCAGGAGAATGGCGTGAACCCGGGAAGCGGAGCTTGCAGTGAGCCGAGATTGCGCCACTGCAGTCCGCAGTCCGGCCTGGGCGACAGAGCGAGACTCCGTCTCAAAAAAAAAAAAAAAAAAAAGAGATTCTGGTATTCTAACTTTGTAGACTACCAGCCATTCTAGAATTTGGGGGCTTTGTATGTCAAGGCTTTTACATTCAGGACTCAGGTATTAATAGTTTAAGAAGGCTGACAGACACAAAGTGCCCGTTTTCAGCAAGCTCTCAGCAGCTTGTGAATGCTCCTCAGGCCCTTATTAACAAATGATGCCCTTTTCTTCTGTCGAGATTTAGTAATGATAGGGCCCTTTTGCCAATTTTTTCAAGGGCATTTTTTTGGAGCAAATTTACAATAGAGGGTGCATATTTTTCAATAGTGCAGCCAAGTTTATTTGCTAATGAAGAAAGCCAGTGTGTTGGACTTTTTTGATTGAATCTGAGTGTCAACTCTAAGCAACTGCTGGCTGACAACTGCAGACGGAAAGGCTGGATGAATGCCAGCGAGGAAGCCTTGCCAGGGAGGTGAAACCGATGAACACCTCCATTCTTAGCTGGTTATAAATTGGATATTGATCCGAATCTGTGAACCTATATATTCTTAAATTTTTTTTTCTTATAGCTTTCAGATTGTAAAACCTATATATTTTATATGTGAAACAAACGAACAAACTTATGCAAAAAATGTACATTATCTGCTCACTCACACCTACACAATTATTGAATTTATAGCAACAAACTGTTTATAACTTTTTTATTTTTCATTTTTGAGACAGGGGTTTCGCCATGCTGCCCAAGCTGGTCTCAAACTCCTGAACTCAAGCGATCCCCTCCCACTCCCACCTCGCCCTCCCAAAGTACTGGGATTACAGGCGTGAGCCACCAGGAGGTGGAGGTTTCAGTGAGCCGAAACCGCGCCATTGCACTCCAGCCTGGCGACAAAGCAAGACTCTGTCTCGGGGTGGTGGGGGGGAAAGTATACATACATATATGTATGTGTGTGTATATGTGTATGTATGCGTGTATATATATATATATATTTTCACATATATAGAAAAGTAACCTTGATTATAAGGTTTATTAAAAACCGAATACAATATTTAATACATTCAAAGGTAATTAAAACAAAATTATTCCTTTCGTGTAAATTTTCTTCTCAGGCATTTTGAAGGTTAATACTTCAACGCTGCTGGGAAGTTAATCTTACTAAAAGAAGCTTATAACCAATAGGCTTCCTTGAAAGTTTTTCAAATCAACTAAAAGCTACTCTTTCGTTCAAACCGTCAACTAAAGGTTACTTTTATATGCGTTTTTATTGATTTATGTAAACGTTGTCTACTACTGTTATTAGTGCAAAACAGCAAGCTAGTCAAGCGCGGTTGTGGGGGGAGACAATGTTAAATCAACTTAACAATAACCCACAACACTCGGACCAACTGTGTTATCCTGTGAGTCTCTTGTTATTTATAGTGCCTACTTAGGGTCTTTTCTAGGTAAGGAGACTTTTCAGAGCCTATGCCATGATCGTAAAAATAAAATGTGTAAAACTTTTTGATTAAACACAATGAAAACAAAACCAAATGCTCTCTCTTAAGAGAGTTTGTAAGAATTATGTTAATCAACCAAGGTTTTTCTGCATTTCACTTTTACAAATGCATTGTGGGTAGCGCCTAGCTAAATATGAAAGTAAACCCGGCGCGTGGTTCGCAGCCACGCGGGCTCCGGGCAATTGCGCTTTAGTCTGGGTGGACAGCTTCGCCGGAGCTGAGAGCCCGCGACCTGCCGGACCAGGGCTGGGCCGCGGGTCAATGATCCAGGAAATCCCGTCACTCGCGTGCCTGTGGCTGAAGCGCGGCAGCTTGTCTTGTCCGTTTCGTGTCAGTTTCAGGGCTGAGTGGCAGCGTCTGGACTTTGCGGACGCCGAGGGCTCAGATGCTGGGCTCTGGGGAGGGAGAGGGCGCCGGCCGGCCTGTCCCTCTCCGGGGATTTGCAGGTACCACCTGTCGGCTTTGTTTCATCATCAGGAGCCCCTTTGCCCAGAAATCCCGATCGTCTACACCCAGGTCTCTACTGATCAGAGATTGAGAGTGAGTCAACAGGAGTCCAACACGTGACCCCCATAAGTCTACCCTCTTTTCCCCCAATACTTGTAGATACCACCCAGTAACACCCGTGTGTGCTAAAAATCCTATTCTGGGAGTTCTTCGGCAGTTTAAATCGCCCATGAATTACTCATATTTTCTCAATCCACCGTGAGCCTGGCACATTTCTTTTCAGTAATTGATTGGGAAAGTGCAAGCCATTGGTGACCTTTAGAAGTTTTAAATGTTTATAACGAAAGGGCTAAGGACAGAGGAGATTACCCACACTTAAGTATTTTGCACCTTAAAAATGCTAGCAAAAATATGAATTTATATTCCTTCAGGGAGAAGATTTCGTCTGAGGACGTAGGCCGAACCTTGTGTTTTATATGTCATATGAATTACGCTCTGAAACTAAAATATGAAATAGATTCCATAATTAAGCCCTTTGGAATATCAGCCTCATCTGAATTATTTCTAAGGATATTTTTGCCTTTTTTGGTTTATTAAAAACTTCCTTTTGGGGAAACTTGTATAGATTTTCTGCACTTAGGCAAAATAAAGCATTTTATTCAAAATATTTCTTAGGGTTTTCCTAGAACTTACTCTTCTTTCTTCCTGTAAAGACAAACCTAGGAAATTGTTCAGAAAAAGGCCCAAGGTGATTTCCTCATAACCTATAGTGATTAGTGAGAAAAAGTTTGGATATTGGGGATTTCGGGGTTGATTTGATAATTTCAGGAAAATGAAGAAAACCTCAAATTTAAGATATTAAAATGTTTAAAAATTGTCCTAGAGAAAACGATGGTACTAAAAGCTTAAAAATTTCTAAAGATTAAGAGAGCTGACAGTGATTTAAAAAATACATTTAATCTAGGAAAAGCAGTAGATTAAGAAAGATATTAGGAATGTTGTCAAATGCTGTCTTTTAAAGGTGGATAATTGCTTTAGTGACACTTATACTTTTGGGATTTTTGTCTTATGATTAAGGTGGCAATTACATAATAGTCATCATTCTAGATTGTATAAATTATACTTTTTACATTATTTCATTATATTATATTACTGGTATCTTTTTCTTTAGAATTGATAGAATGCATCAGCTTTTAATCTCCCTTTGTAATAGTTATTTAACCTAAGGGAGATCAGAATATGCCATGCCAAAATGTGACACTTTGTCATCAGGATTATTTTGAGCTGAAGGTAATTGAGAATGAACATATAGAAAGAAACTTTCTCAGAGCTTCCCTTATCTGACTAAAAGCAGTGACTTCTGAGAAAGGAGGCTGCTATAAATTCCCCTTTTGGGTTAGGTCTACTCATAAATGCATTCATCAGGGAAGTTTTATGGCCCTGAAGGAGACCACCCATACCTGTCTAGACAGTCTCACAAACTTTCTTATCTCCTGTTTCTTCTCCTGAAAACTCCTATTTGTCTTTCCTCAGGAAACCCATTTTTTCCCCCATAATAGCCTTTCTCTCCCCTCTTTTTCCTCAACTAAGTTAGGTATATAAGCCCCAAATGCGAACCACCCCTTTGAGTTGCTCATCACTGAGCACTCCTGTGTGTATGTGTATTACACACATAAACTGCTTTTTTCCTTTTGTCAAAGGTACCTGTCTTTTGCAGCTTAATTTGCAAGCCCCTAGTTATTGAACATGAGAGTGTAGAGGAAAAGCATTTTCCCTTCCCTACAGGCCTAAAGGAAACTACATGAAATATTAAAACAAGTACTGATTAAAGGCCGGGCGCGGTGCCTCAAGCCTGTAATCCCAGCACTTTGGGAGGCCGAGGCGGGCGGATCACGAGGTCAGGAGATCGAGACCATCCTGGCTAACACGGTGAAACCCCATCTCTACTAAAAATACAAAAAAATTAGCCAGGCGTGGTGGCGGACGCCTGTAGTCCCAGCTACTTGGGAGGCTGAGGCAGGAGAATGGTGTGAACCCGGGAGGGGGAGCTTGCAGTGAGCCGAGATGGCGCCACTGAACTCCAGCCTGGGCGACAGAGCGAGACTTTGTCTCAAAGAAAAAAAAAAAAAAAAAAAGAACAAGTACTGATTAAAAAGGTTAAGGGGTTATGTGAGGGGAGGGGAGTTTTGTGGCCCAGGCTGGTCTCGAACTCCTGAGTTCAAGGGATCTGTCCGCCTCCGCCTCCCAAAAGTGCCGGGATTACAGGCATGGGCTACCGTGCCCTGCCTCTTTACTGTTTTATTGGGATGTACCTCCATGGATCTTCACTAGTATTATATCATTTCATCCTCAAAACAGCTCTATCAGGTAGTTAAATCAGATAACGTAAATATCTTCCCAGTTTATGCCTATTATGGGCATGGTGGCTCACACCTATCATTCCAGCACTTTGGGAGACCAAGGTGGGAGAATCACTTGCGGCTAGGAGTTGGAGACCAGCCTGGGCAACATAGGGAGATACCCCCATCTCTAAAAAAATAATAAACAATATTAGCTGAACGTGTTGGTGCATGTCTGTGTGTGCCTATGGCTTCAGCTACTTGGGAGGCTGAGGTGGGAGGATGCCTGAGCCGGGAGGTCGAGGCTGTGTCAGTCATGATTGCACCACTGCATGCCAGCCTGGGTGACAGAGCAAGAACGCTGTCTCAAAAATAAAAAATAAAAAAGCAAAAGAAATATCTTCCTCTAGGACCACAGCTGTAAAGAGCAGAGCAGTTTCCCTCTCAGCTTAAAAGGCTAAACGCTGATGTGCTTGCACGCTAGTGCTTGGCCCATGCATCTTTCTCTACCTCAGAGATATTATTGTAGGGGTCAAAGGTACCTAATCTAATGCCTGGGATATAGTACCTATGCTCACTAAGGTTCATTTGAATTTATTTATTTTAATTAATTAATTAATTAATTAACTTTTTGAGATGGAGTCTCGCTCTGTCGCCTAGCTTGGAGTGCAGTGGCGTAATCTCAGCCCACTGCAACCTCTGCCTCCCAGGTTCAAGCAATTCTCCTACCTCAGCCTCCCAAGTAGCTGGGATTGCAGGCATGTGCCAACATGGCTGGCTAATTTTTTTTTTTTTCCTGAGACAGTGTCTTGCTCTGTCGCCCAGGTTGGAGTACAGTGGCACAATCTTGGCTCACTGCAAGTTCCGACTCCCGGGTTCACACCATTCTTTTGCCTCAGCCTCCTGAGTAGCTGGGACTACAGGCACCCGCCACAATGCCCGGCTAATATTTTGTATTTTTAGTAGAGACAAGGTTTCACCCTGTTAGCCAGGATGGTCTTGATCTTCTGACCTCGTGATCCACCTGTCTCAGCCTCCCAAAGTGCTGGGATTACAGGCGTGAGCCACTGTGCCCACCTGACTAATTTTTGTATTTTTAGTAGAAACGGGGTTTCACTCTGTTAACCAGGATGGTCTTGATCTCCTGACCTCGTGATCCACCTGCCTTGGCCTCCCAAAGTGCTGGGATTACAGGCATGAGCCACTGGGCTCACCTGGCTAATTTTTGTATTTTTAGTAGAAACGGGGTTTCACCATGTTGGCCAGGCTGGTCTCGAACCCCTGACCTCAGGTGATCCACCCAGCTCAGCCTCTGAAAGTGCTGGGATCACAGGCATGAGCCACCGTGCCCAGCACATTTGAACTTATTAAGTAATGACCATTGAATTTTATTTTTCTGAGTTTTAGTTGTTTTGTTTGTTTGTTTGTTTGTTTGAGAAGGAGTCTGGCTGTGTTGCCCAGGCTGCAGTGCACTGGCGGGATCTTGGCTCACTGCAACTTCTGCCTCCCAGGTTCAAGTGATTGTCCTGCCTCAGACTCTCGAGTAGCTGGGATTACAGGTGCCCGCCACTACGGCCAGCTAATTTTTTCGTATTTTTAGTAGAGATGATGTTTCACCATGTTGGCCAGGCTGGTCTCGAACTCCTGACTTCGTGATTCGCCCACCTCGTCCTTCCAAAGTGCTGGGATTACAGTCGTGAGCTGCAGCGCCTGGCCTGAGTTTTAGTTTTAAAACTGACCAACACTACATTTGTGTCCTCTTTTCAACTCCTGTTATCCAAAGCATTTATGCTATAAGTAATACCTTCTTTTTCTTTTGGCTATTTAGTTGAATATAACCAGCTTTGTTCACACAGGTAGAGAAAGACCTACAGTCAGCCCTCTGTTTCCGTATTCGTGGGTTCTGCATTCATGGATTCTTTTTTATTATTATTTTGAGACAGAGTCTTGCTCTGTCCCCCCAGGCTGGAGTGCAGTGGTGTGATCATGGCTTACTGCAGCCTTGACCTCCTGGGCTGCAGCAATCCTCCCACCTCAGCCTCCTGAGAAGCTGGGACTACAGGCACATGCCACCATGCCCAGCTTGCTTATTTATTTATTTATTTAGAGACGGAGTCTTGCTCTGTTGCCCAGGCTGGAGTGCAGTGGCACCATCTCGGCTCACTGCAAGCTCCGCCTCCCAGGTTCATGCCATTCTCCTGCCTCAGCCTCCCAAGTAGTTGGGACTACAGGTGCACGCCACCGCGCCTGGCTAAGTTTTTGTATTTTTAGTAGAGACGGGGTTTCACCGTGTTAGCCAGGATGGTCTTGATCTCCTGACCTCGTGATCCGCCCGCCTCGGCCTCCCAAAGTGCTGGGATTACAGGTGTGAGCCACTGTGCCCAGCCTAATTTTTTTTTTTTTTAAAGAGACATGAGTTTCCCTGTGTTGCCCAGGCTGGTCTCAAATTCCTGGGCTCAAGGGATCCTCCTGCCTCAGCCTCCCAAAGTGCTGAGATTACAGGCATGAGCCGCTGTTCTGGGCCATTCGTGGGTTGTCCATCCGTGGATTCAACCAAATGCCCATCAAAAATATTTGGAAAAAATATTTTCCAAATGTTTACAATATTTACATTGTATTAGGTATTATAAGTAATCTAGAGATGATTTAATGTATACAGGAAGATGTGCATAGGTTATATGCAAATATTACACCAATTTATATAAAGGACTTGAACATCCATGGGTTTTGGTGTCTGAGAGGGTCCTGGAACCAATCCCTTGAAGATACAGAGGAATAACTGTATTGTATTGGCCAGGTGGGTCACATGTAGGAATGAGACAACTCAGGTGTGTACACATAGTGGCGCTGGGAAGAAGGCAGCCTGTTTCGGCCCTGCTGTGGCTGTTCTGCCTCTGGCGCCATCTTTCACACCAATGCATGGTGGCTGCAATTTAAATCCGATGTGGAAAATTCAAGTAGGTAATAAGAGCCAAGTGGTGCCGAAGGTTGGCCCTTGTAGGCCTGGAGGGCCTCAGGCTCAGTGTTGGCTCAGTGTTTATTGTCTGCCCTTCTGTTGCTGGGCATCCCAGGGCCCACATGCCAGGGTACACAGGCATTCTGAAAAAGGTGCAATTGCTGTTTCTGATTAGAAGAGCAATATATGATTATCGATAAAATTTGAACATGCAGAAAAATAGCAAGAGGAAAATAAAAATTACTTGATACGCTCATTACTCAGAGTAGTTATTTTCTTCCAGTTCATTGTCTTTGCATTTTTCTTTAGTTGCAGTCACACTTAATAAAATTTTCTTACTTTGTTACATTTGCTTGAAATATATATAAGTTAGCTGGGTGTGGTGGCTCACGCCTGTAATCCCAGCACTTTGGGAGGCTGAGGCGGGTGGATCACCTGAGGTCAGGAGTTTGAGACCAGCCTGGTCAACATGGTGAAACCCCATCTCTACTAAAAATACAAAAATCAGCACGCCTGTAATCCCAGCTACTCGGGAGGCTGAGGCAGGAGAATCGCTTGAACCCAGGAGGTGGAGGTTGCAGTGAGATGAGATCATGCCATTGCACTCCAGCCTGGGCAACAAGAGCGAAACTCCATCTCAAAAACAAAAAACAAAAACAAAAACAAACGTTAAAGGCCAGGCACAGTGGCTCACGCCTGTAATCCAGCACTTTGGGAGGCCGAGCTGAGTGGATCACTTGAGGTCAGGAGTTCCAGACCAGCCTGGCCAACATGGTGAAACCCTGTCTCTATTAAAAATACAAAAATTAGCTGGGCGTGGTGGCGGGCACCTGTAGTCCCAGCTATTTGGGAGGCTGAGGCAGGAGAATTGCTTGAACCCAGGAGGCAGAGGTTACAGTAAGCCGAGATTGTGCCATTGCACTCCAACCTGGGTGTCAGAGCAAGACTCCATCTCAAAAAAAATAAATACATAAAGTTAAAGTGGGCACGCGTGGTGGCTCATGCCTATAATGGTGGCTCACACCTGTAATCCCAGCACTCTGAGAGGCTGTGGTGGGAGGGTTGCTTGAGTTTAGGAGGTCAAGGCCAGCCTGTGTGAGACCCTATCTAAGTTAAAGCACTTCCCCGTACGTTTAAAATCTCTTCATGGGCATCGTTTTCCTTGCTGTGGCCTGCCTGCCTTTTACTCAGTCATACCCCCACTGGTGAACACGCCAGTGACTTCCAGTTTTCACTGTTTTACATAATGCCAACATGTACATCTGAGTTCATGACTCTCAACTGGGTTATTTCCTTAGTATTTTTGGAAGTGAAATCACCAGGTCTCAGCATACTCTTCAGGTTATCGTAACATCTTGCCAAGGACTTCTCAGAAAGACTATGAGCATGAATAGAGGGTTCTTGACTAGTGCCTCACCTTAGTGAGGTTTTTGGGAATGACCATTTTTCTTTTTTTTTTTGAGACAGTTTCGCTTTTGTTGCACAGGCTGGAGTGCAGTGGCATGACCTTGGTTCACTGCAACCTCTGCCTCTAGGGTTCAAGTGATTCTCCTGCCTCAGCCTCCTGAGTAGCTGGGACTACAGGCATCTGCCACCATGCCCAGCTACGTTTTTGTATTTTTAGTAGAGATTGGGTTTCACTATGTTGGCCAGGCTGGTCTCGAACTCCCAACCTCAGGTGATCCACCTGCCTCGGCCTCCCAAAGTGCTGGGATTACAGGCGTGAGCCACTGTGCCCAGTCATGACGATTTTTCTTTTTCTTAATCTTTGAACATTTGAATGGTGGCAGTGGTTTCTTGTGGCTTTAATTTGCATTTTTAATTTAATTTAATTTAATTTTTTGAGGCAGGGTCTCGCCCTGTCACCCAGGCTGGAGTGCAGTGGCATGATCACAGCTCAATGCAGCCTCAACCTCCCGGGTTCAAGCGATCCTTCCACCACAGTCTCCGGAGTAGCTGGGACTACAGGTGTATGCCAGCATGCCCAGCTCATTTAATTTGCATTTGTTTGATTTGCAGTCAGCATGAACTTTTTCCATGTTTACTAAACATTTCCCCTTGAATGCTTTCCTTATTATTTGCATATGCTCTAATATATATATATATATTTTCTTGAGATGGAGTCTCACTCTGTCACCCAGGCTGGAGTGCGGTGGCACGATCTCAGCTCGCTGCAACCTCCACCTCCCAGGTTCAAGCGATTCTCATGCCTCAGCCTCCAGAGTGGGATTACAAGCTCGCACCACCACACCCAGCTATTTTTTGGTATTTTTAGTAGGGGTTTCATCGTGTTTGTGAGGCTGGTCTCGAACTCCTGACCTCAAATGATCCGCCTGCCTCAGCCTCCCAAAGTGCTGAGATTACAAGCATGAGCCACCCGCCCCCCGCCTCTCTAATATAAATTTTTGAATAATTAGCTGAATCTGTAGCATACGCTGAAAACCTTTCCCTTGTTTGTTGCTTGCCTTTAATTGTATGATGTTTTAATACATAAACATTTTAGTTTTTAGCAGTCACGTCATTTACTCTATGGTTTCTTCCATTGTTTTTAAGTGTAGAACGTTCTTCCCATTGATAATTCAGTTAAATATTCCCTTACCTTTTTTTTCTAGATTTTGCTCTTATTTTCACTTAACTGTTTAATAATTTAATTTTATTTCGATGTGAGTGATAAGAAACCAGCTTCTTATCTTTCTTGCCTAGCCCTTTCCTCTTATCTTAATTGAGATTTCTAATTTCTACGGTATTTCTTAGCTTCAAAACATCTCCAAGTAGTGTTAAATATAGTTAAATTTTACTACACTGTACGTTATTTTCTGAGAACAAATTATAGTCTTTCAAGAACTAACGGGCTAAATGACTTCAGTCAGTTCTTTTCACCTCTCTGGGCCTCAGAATCTGTAAAATGAGACTTGGAACAGATCCGCTTTTCTACCAAGTATTCCAAGGAGCACAAGTTTTTTAGGGTTGAATGAGAAAAGAATTTTGTGGTCAACTCTGTTTGGGAAATTCTCAGTTATATTAAGTGTAAGAGGAATTTTCTTTTCATTTTATTTTACATTCAGTATTATCATTTATTCAAAAGCAAGTATTGAATGCCTCCTAGGCCAGGCATTGCTAGAGGTAGAGCCCTGAGCGACAACATAGTCCTTGTCCATTGAGCAGGCCATGGATTTCAAGGATATTATGAAAGAGGAAATCTGGGACCGGGTGTGGTGGCTCACACCTGTAATCCTAGCACTTTGGGAGGCCAATGTGGGTGGATCACCTGAGGTCATGAGTTCAAGACCAGCCTGGCCAACATGGTGAAACCTGGACTAAAAATACAAAAATTTTCTGGGCGTGGTGGCGGATGCCTATAATCCCAGCTACTGGGGAGGCTGAGGCAGGAGAATCACTTGAACCCAGGGGGCTGAGGTTGCAGTGAGCTGAGATTGCACCATTGCACTCCAGCCTGGGCAAAAAGAGCGAAACTCCATCTCAAAAAAAAAAAAAGGAAAATGGGAGTGCATGGCAGGGGGCATCCTCAAAGAAGTGCTGAGCCCCACAGGATGAGGAGGAGTTGCCCAGGTTATGATCGAGAGTGGCAGAGAAAAAGAGCAAATGCCCCTATTGAGAGAGCGTGGAACATTGGAGACACTGGGGAAGTCCAGCCTGAAGCCAGATGGATAGGGAGCTCAGAGGCCTTTTTAGGGATTTTGAACTTTATTCTCAGGGAGACATGAAACTATTGAAGATTTTCATCAGGGGAGTGATATATCTGTTTTTCTGGGAGCTTCTGGCTGCTTTGTAGAGAAGAGGGAGAGGGAGGCAGAACCATTAGGAGGCCCAAGGTGTTTTAGGGGAGAGACGTCATGCTGGCAGTTCTGAGTAATGGAGTGAAAATGGGGCAAAAGTGGACAGATTTCAGAACAGTTTTGGAGATGTAATTGCAAGAAGTAAGAGAAAGCTAAAAATCAGAAACGACTCCCAGATTTCTGGCTTGTGCCATTGGGTGGATACCATTTCCTGGAGTATGGAAAAAGTGATATTGACATGGAGACTATGAGGTGGAGGGCGGGATGTGTGGAGACCGATGAGCTCTCTTTTGGAGCTGATATTGTGAATCCCTAAAACAAATACTATGTAGCATCTGTCCCGTTTATTTGACCCATATGCATTTCTGTTTTTCAGACAATCTCTTGGGGCCAGGGTTCCATGGAACACATGTTGGTAAAGGCTAGTTTAGCTACTCTCAGGGGTCCTTCCCAGCTCAAATATTCTCTTTTCCCACAATGCTAATGAGAACCAGAAAGTGAACTGCATTGGCTGATGTTTTAAATAAACTTTTTAATTGAATTGTGAAAAAGATGTAGAAGATGCTCACCTCCTAAGTGCAGAGCTTGATGAATTTTTACATAGTGTGCATACCCGTGTAACCACTGCCTAGAGCAAGACAGCATACATTATTGCAGATGCCTCCCAGAGTGCTTGATTTTTAAGTATGAAAAGCTTTGGAGGAGTGGGCCATTTGGCTGAACCATCACTTCCATTCTGTCTTCCAGGACAAGTTTGAGGATACAGTGGTACAGAGCAGCTCAGACTCTGAGTGCAGCAGGAGTCTGGTGCACTTGGCCTCTTTTTCTTGGAAAGGGCATTAAAAACTAATGGATGAAGTGAAGGATGTTCATCCGGAGTTGGCCTCACCTGCCAAGTGGCCTTTGTGTGAAGATCTCAGGAAGGAAGGGAAGGCCCCTCATCCATTTGTCAAATAAGCCCCAGCAACCCTTGTTGCCTGAGGTTAACAATGACACAGTTTAGGGTCGACAGATATTGATAGGGTTAATGAGTGAATGACTACCAGAATCTCTGCTTCCTGCCCAGGTTCTAGTCTGCAGATGCCAATGCCTCTGAGAAAGCAGCGTTCACTGGCAGCTCAGTATCAAACTCCAAATGAGAGAGTAAACGAACACATGAATGAATTCATTTCCTGGACCGAAACGTTCCTCCCCTACCTCTTTCTCTGATGACTCTTCTATCTGCCTGGCCCTAATTTAATTGTCTCCCCACTCCAAGAAGCTATCCCTGAGCCCAGATGGTGTCAGGTCCTCTCCTCATATACTCTCCCAGCACCTTATACTTCCTAATGCTTGCACCACTGCTGTTAACAACGGTTCGCTGCCCTATGCGCACAGAAGCCAACAGCTAGGCAGGAAAGACATTTTTTTTTGTTTTGTTTTTGTTTTAATTAATTAATTTTTTTTTTTTTTAGACGGAGTTTCACTCTTGTCGCCCAGGCTGAAGTGCAGTAGAGCGATCTCGGCTCACTGCAACCTTTGCCTCCCAGGTTCAAGAGATTCTCCTGCCTCAGCCTCCTGAATAGCTGAGATTACAGGCATGTGCCACCACACCCAGCTGATTTTTGTATTTTTAGTAGAGGAGGAGTTTCTCCATGTTGGCCGGGCTGATCTGGAACTCCTGACCTCAGGTGATCCACTCGCCTCGGCCTTCCAAAGTGCTGGGATTACAGGCATGAGCCACTGCGCCCGGCTGGCTTTTTTTTTTTTTTTTTTTTTTTTTTTGAGATGGGGGTCTCACTATATTGACCAAGCTGGTCTCCAACTTCTTGCCTCAAGCGATCCTCCCATCTTGGCCTCCCAGAGTGCTGGGATTACAGGCGTGAGGCACGGTGCCTGGCTGAGACAGGAAAGGCTTTATTGCAAAACCTGCCAGCAAGGAGATGGGAATTGGGCTTAAATCTGTCTCCCTGACTTGGGGTCTGGGGCAAGTTTATGGGCTCGGAGGGAGAGGGAAAGGATTTGGGAATGTTGGCTGGACAGGGTCCAATTGGAAGGCTTCAAATTTGGCCATTTATGGTAAGGTATGTGGAGGCCAATTTTAGTCCCGGATCTTCCGGCCACTGGACCCCTCGCTTCTGGAAGAGTTCCGGAGTTCGGGTTCCGGTCATGTCTCAGTCTTCTTGGTTCCGAAACGAGGAATCGTAGGTTCCGGGTGTTGTTAGAGGGTCCAGCGTTTTCTATTGCGCCTGCCTGGGCTCCATGACGTGAGAGCTTTTTGGCTGTGTTGTACCTTCAAGGTAACTGACCATTTTGTTATCAACAGAGTAGGCCCAGTGTGGGCTGGTCTCAAGGTAACACAACCGTCAGCAAATAGAAGGCCCCTAGAGGTTGTCCCATGCCTGAGAGGAGGCCTAATGAGGAAGCCGCCCAGAGCAGGGCCACTGACCTTGGACTTCCCGGGCTCAGGTCTTGGCTTCCTCTGTTGCTCACCAGCTTGTGCCTTTAGGCAGGTTACTTACTTTCTCTGTGCCTCGGTTCCTTTGTCAGCTGAATGAGGGCGAGTACAGTACCTACCTGAGTCATGCCATGGATATTAAAGGAGAGGATATTTATGAACAGTGCTCAGTGCAGTGTCTGGGGCATGGGAGGTGCTCAAAAAACACTTGCTGTGTGAGTGAACGTTGAGTTACTGTTAGACTGAGGGGAGGTGGAAGGTCCTATGGGGTCTGAAAAAGGAGAGAGGTGGAAAAAGCAGGGGTTTGGGGGTGGGAAGGAGGGTGACAATGAAGGAGAGCATGGGATAATGCCACAGAAGGCGACTGCGACTTTTTTTTTTTTTTTTTTGAGACGGAGTCTCGCTCTGTCGCGCTGGCTGGAGTGCAGTGGCGCCATCTCGGCTCACTGCAAGCTCCACCTCCCGGGTTCACGCCATTCTCCTGCCTCAGCCTCCCAAGTAGCTGGGACTACAGCCGCCCGCTACCACGCCCGGCTAATTTTTTTGTCTTTTTAGTAGAGACGGGGTTTCACCGTGTTAGCCAGGATGGTCTCCATCTCCTGACCTCGTGATCCACCCGCCTCGGCCTCCCAAAGTGCTGGGATTACAGGCGTGAGCCACCGCGCCTAGCCAGGAGACTGCGACTTCTAATACACTTTCATTTTAGGATAGGGCCTGACTTGCTTTTACCCATAAAAAAAATGCCTCTTAGCATTTGCCCAAGTTAGAATGAATCTGGCCTTGGAGATAAAGAAGCCATTGTTTTCATGTAGATGTCACGAAGTCTGTCTCTTCTTAACGCTACTTCCTGCCTTGGGAATTTGGGCAGGGGGATCACCTAGGTTGGACTAGGCTTGGCTGCTGGTGCCTACCCTGTTGGATAACCTGGCGATAAGGAGAGAAGAAAGGGTGGGGCCCATCCCAGAGTGTTTACCTGTGATCCCTGCAGATGTTCCCAGTGGGGGAAGTACTCATGGACCATCACACCTTCTTCTCCAATTCCCTTTATATTTTTATTTATTTATTTATTTATTTATTTTTGAGACGGAGTCTCGCTCTGTCGCCCAGGCTGGAGCGCAGTGGCGCGGTCTCAGCTCACTGCACCCTCTGCCTCCCAGGTTCAAGCGATTCTCCTGCCTCAGTTTCCCGAGTAGCTGGGATTACAGGTGTGCGCCACCTTGCCTGGCTAGTTTTTTGAATTTTTAGTAGAGATGGGGTTTCACTGTGTTAGCCAGGCTCAGGTGATCTGCCCGCCTTGGCCTCCCAAAGTGCTGGGATTATAGGCATGAGCCACCATGCCCGGCCCAATTCCCTTTTTAAATTTAGATGTTTATGGACTTGATCTCATTCTACCTGAAAATATTTTTAAGGGTGGGAGGTGGAAGCAGAAAGGGATTTACAGAAAAGATACATTTGGTCATTTATTTTCTGGCCTACTTAAGATGTGGTTTTGAAGACAGCAGAGGCCTATGATCTGTTGGCTCTCTAGATGGCTTCCAGCCCTGTGACTCTATGATCTAATAGAATTTATAGCATTAAATATTCCAGTAGTGACTTGCAAAGATTGCTTTGAAGGGATTACAGATGGTTCTGTAAGTATATACTTTTAGAAGAACATAATGCAATTTGCTTTCTAGCCCAAAGCCCTAAAAATAATTAGGTAGGAGTTCAGACAAGTGTTAAAAGACAGTTGTTTCTGGTGAATCCAAGTGGCTTTTAAAAAAATCAATTTCACTTCTCATCAGAGGAGGGCTTGCATTTTAGATTGCTCATGGTTTGTTGAATAGCGACGCCCAACGAGCACACTGGCATTAAAAAAAAGTAAGCAATGAGAAAAATTAGTGTGATATTCCAAGCTCAAATTAAGTATAATAGAGTGAGGAAAAGAATTTCAGAATGCTGGAGTGAGTAATGTAACTGAGACCTAAGCACTCGCCTTTAGGGATTCTTACTTGGTCCAATTGTGACTTTAACATATGTCTTCCATCTGTCTCTGTCTGTTGCCCCTCATGCCTTGGAATAGTTCTGGCCCATCTGGTTTCCTTTCATGGGATCCGAGGGAGACTTTCTCAGTGAAGTGCGGGTCAGAGTTCAGTTTTGGCTGCACATAGAGAGGTGGAGATCACTCAAGGAGGAAGAGAAGGAACTAAGGACATGCCAGCAGTGAGGGTCCGGCTGCCAAGGGCTCTCGGGGGTGGGCCCCCGAAGATATTTGGCAGGCGAGAGGGAACCATTCAGGAGCTTTCTTTTCCATAACTTTTTATAATAAAAAGAGCAAAACGTTAACATAGAAAAACTAGAAAAAACAGAATAGTATAAAGAGGGAGACAAACATCCCTTGTAATCTTATCTCTCATTGTGGGGTTTTCTGTTTTTCTTTTTGGTTAGGGAGAGATGTGAAAGTGATACTCTTAGAACAGTAACTTGTTAGATGGTAGTAGGTGTTATGGGGCAGGGGGAAATTCAGTAAGGAGGCAGACTGGGAGTGTAGCAGGGCCCAGGGTGAAGTGGGTGATCAGGGAAAAGCCCACAGACTGGGGATTTTTAAATAAAGAACTGAGGCTGACTGGCCACAGTGGCTCACGCGTGTAATCCCAGCACTTTGGGAGGCTGAGGCGGGCAGATCAGTTGAGGCCAGGAGTTCAAGACCAGCCTGGCCAACATGGCAAAACCCTGTCTCTACTAAAATTACAAAAGTTTGCTGGGTGTGGTGGCACACACCTGTAATTCTAGCTACTTGGGAGGCTGAGGCACAAGAATCGCTTGAACCCAGGAGGTGGAGGTTGCAGCGAGCCAAGATTGCGCCACTGCACTCCAGCCTGGGCAACAGGAGTGAGACTCTGTCTCAAAAAGGAACTGAGGCTAGGTGCTGTGGCTCATGCCTGTAATTCCAGCACTTTGGGAGGCTGAGGCAGGGGGATCCCTTGAGCCCAGGAGTTAGGGATCAGCCTGGGCAACATAGGGAGACCCTGTCTCTACAAAAAATAACAATAATAAAAAAAATTAGCCAGACATGGTGATACTTGCCTGTGGTCCTGACTACTTGAAAAGCTGAGGTGGGAGGATTGCTTGATCTGGGAACTCAAAGTTGCAGTGAGCCGAGATTGCACTACTGCACCCCAGCCTGGGTGACAGAGTGAGACCCTGTCTCAAAAAAAAAAAAAAAAAAAAAGAATAAAGCAAGACTAATGGGGTTGAGGAAATGAGCACTGGTTACCTGGAGGTGGGAGTGTGCCCTTCAAAGGAGGAGGGCGTAATGGGGAGGAGGGAAGCCCTCAGCTGGCTGCTGTAAGCTGTCGTCTGACTCGGAGAGGGGTGAGGGTGGAAGTGAGCAGAGAAATGGCACGTCCACAGAAACAGGGAGGTCCGTCCATTTCCTGGCGCACATTAGCACCACCTGAGTGGCTTAAAAAAACAGAAGTTTACTTTGGGAGGCCGAGGTGGGTGGATCACCTGAGGTCGGGAGTTCGAGATCAGCCTGACCAACATGGAGAAACCCTGTCTCTAATAAAAATACAAAATTAGCCAGGCATGATGGCGCGCGCCTGTAGTCCCAGCTACTCGAGATGCTGAGGCAGGAGAATCGCTTGAACTCAGGAGGTGGAGGTTGCAGTGAGCCGAGATTGCACCATTGCACTCCAGGCTGGGCAACAAGAGCAAAACTCCGTCTCAAAAAAACAAAAAACAAAACAAAACAGAAGTTTACTTTCTCACAGTTCTGGAGACTGGAAGTCTGAAATCAAGATGTCAGTAGGGCGGCTTCCTTCTGGGTTCTTGCAGGCAGGACCTGTCCTGAGCCTCTCTCTCAGCTTCTGGGAGTGGTCAGCAGCCCTTGGCTTGTGGACGCATTGCTCCACTCTCTGCCCCCGTCCTCATGTTGCCTCTCCTCTCTTATTAGAATCCTTGTCATTGGATTTTGGGATCATCCTAAACCAGGGTGATCTCATTTTGAGATCCTGAATTGTATCTGTAAAGACCCTTTTTCCAAGTAAGGTCACACCCACAGGCTTTGAGCAGATATATCTTTTTGGGAGCTCCCCATTCAACCCATTTTAGAAGGTCACCAGGAGGAACCAGTTTCTGGAGGAAGGTGATATGTGGTGATTCTCTACAGTTTCACAGCGCACGTGCCGTCTCATTCTCCTCAAAATCTATGAGTTAGTTTTGCTTCTCTCAGCAACATCATCCTGAAAATGACCTGGCCATAAAGAGCCAAGTTCATAACCTTGAACCTTTCCAAGACATTTCCTCAAAAAGCCACAGCTCTACTGGTGTGTTCCCATCTTGTGATCTGCCCTGATAAATGACTGATCCTGGAGGACAGTGCGTGGCCCTGTCACTGTTCTAAGATAGCCTTTATTTGAGTGAATGAAGGGATAAATGAATGGCCAATTAAATCTGACCTCTGGCCAGTGTTGAAATTCAGTGATCTTCTGATACATAATGTCAGTGGTTCTTATGCTTTTTTGTGGAGTCAAGGGTGTCCTTGGGAATATGATGGAAAATAATGGATCACTCTTCCCATACAATTGTACTTATTCTCACCCGGGCATGGTGGCTCACAACTGTAATCCCAGCACTTTGGGAGGCCGAGGCGGGTGGATCACCTGAGGTCAGGAGTTTGAGACCAGCCTGGCCAACATGGTGAAACCCTATCTCTACTAAAAGTACAAAAAAATTAGCCAGACGTGATGGCGCACGCCTGTAATCCCAGCTACTCAGGAGACTGGGGTAGGAGAATCACTGGAACCTGGGAGGCGGAGGTTGCAATGAGCTGAGATCGTGCCACTGCACTCCAGCCTGGGCAACAGAGTGAGACTCCATCTCAAAAAGAAAAAAAAAAGTACTTATTATATACAATTCCTAGGAATTCCCTGATAGAGAGTCAACCAGCCCATGAGAAGGTGGCCACAGAGCATCTGAAAGTCATGGCCACATTTTTCTTATGAGAACTAGATGGACCTGAAATCTTTACCCAGTAAAACTTCCCACCCTATTTCATCTCATGTGGCGTGGCAAAGAAGATTGGACCTGGAAGTTTTCTAGGGCCCAGTGTGCCAGAGGGCTTAGAGGAGAAAAGAGACTAAACAGAGGGCCTGGTCAGGAGATGGCAGATATAATCCAGAGGAGAGGCCACGAGGGCTCTGCCACTGGCTCTGGGAAGGTCAAAGCCCACACTCCTTTCTGGAGCTCACTGGGTAATAAGCTGCCTGCAGCGAGCAAAGGAAAGAGGACTTAAAAATGACTCCAGGCGTGCAAGCCTCAGAGTCAGGCAAGACCCGCATGGTAACCTATAGGAAGAAGGGAACTATTTTTATAAGTTCAATCTGTAGCTTGTTGAATCTTTATAAAGTCCATATTTAGTTTGCAGTCTTTAAATTCTAATCACAGAGCTTATAGAAATGATAGAAATGAGTAGCATTTATAAGCATTTTGGACTTCCTTCTCATAGCAAAAATGGACTTTAATTGCTGTCAGCTTCAGGTTACTGCTTACCTTTTTCTCTGACAGCCATTTTTATTTGTCTTAGGATCTGCATTATATTATATATAATTGCGAAATGAAAGTGTCCTAAAGTTAAATAAAATAGCTTTTAAATGGCACTTACAAACAGTTTCTATTGAACCCCCAACCTAAATCATAAAAGCTTACAACTCTTAAGAGCACTGTGTGAAGATAGTATATTGTGAAACATTTCAGATTGTACAGGATGTGTTTAAGAGGAAAAGGAAGCCCTATGGGCTTACAGAGGCTTAGGAATAGAAAGAGAATGATATTTATGTTTTAAAATTCTCTCTGTGTGCTTGTGTACATGTCTATATACAGAAATGCATAGAAGAAGGGAGGAGGCCCCACAGTGGGAGAGGAGGGAACGTTCCCTTTTCTCCTGTATGTTCCTGTGTTGTTTGAATCTTTAAAATGGAATATACTCAGGAATTACTTGTGAATCAAAATTAAAGAAAGATGGAGGCAAATCATCAAGGCCAACACAGCTGGCACAAACAGCCTGATCCGGGATGGACAGACTCCCACACCTTTTGGAAAACGATATAGGTCAGCTCATCTTCTTAGGAACACCATAGTTAGCCTTTGCTTTTTTTGTTATCTTTTTTTTTTTTTTTTGAGATGGAGTTTTGCTATTGTTGTCCAGGCTGGAGTGCAATGGCACGATCTCGGCTCACCGCAACCTCCGCCTCCCAGGTTCAAGCGATTCTCCTGCCTCAGCCTCCCTAGTAGCTGGGATTACAGGCATGTGCCACCACGCCCAGCTAATTTTGTTATTTTTGGTAGAGATGGGGCTTCTCCATGTTGGTCAGGCTGGTCTCGAACTCCTGACCTCAGGTGATCCACCTGCCTCAGCCTCCCAAAGTGCTGGGATTACAGGTGTGAGCCACCGCACCTGGCCGCTTTTTTTTTTTTTTTTATCTTAAGTAAACTTTGTCTTTCTTCTTTTTTTTTTTTTTTTTTGAGATGGAGTCTTGCTCTGTCGCCCAGGCTAGAGTGCAGTGGCACAATCTCGGCTCACTGCAACCTCTGCCTCCCAGGTTCAAGCAATTCTCCCTGCCTTAGCCTCCAGTAGCTGGGATTACCAGCACCCACCACCATGCCTGGCTAATTTTTGTATATTTAATAGAGACGGGGTTTCACCATGTTGGCCAGGCTGGTCTTGAACTCCTGACCTCAGGTGATCCACCTGCCTCGGCCTCCCAAAGTGCTGGGATTACAGGCATGAGACACTGTGCCTGGCCTGTCTTTATTTCGGTTGGCATTTTGAGGAGTAAAATCAGTGCTTCCTTCAAAGCTTCTCTGCAAGGACATAGCTGGGTGGTGCCAGGCTGTGCCGGGGTAGTGCTGGGTGAGCCGGCTGGGCTTTCCCACAGGCAGTGCAGTGTGTGGTGGGTTCTTCCATTTGCTGCTGTCCTCAGAGTGTAAGAACACGTCCAGAGAGCGAGATACTAAACACCCAATGACACGGCGAATGAGCACCCTGCTCTTCCTAAGCTTTTTTGATAACAAAATTGAATAGACCCAAATATAACCTGGGTTTGATGGATTTTTCCTGCCCCAGTTGTCTCATCAGCCCTCCCCACGGTCCCGTGATGCCTGCCCTGCTGCTCATTTGATGCAGTTGGAAAAGTCTCAGAGAGGTGATGGGGGGACACCTCTTGTGTCACCAGGCTTCTATAGGTACATTCGTCACCTGGCACTGCATAACAAAGTACCACAAACTGGATGGCTTCAAATGACAGAAATGTGTTGTCTTACAGTTTTGGAGGCCAGAAGTCCGAAATCAAGGTGTCAGCAGAGCCATGTTCCCGGCACTCCTTGATGTTCCTTGGCCAGCAGCCGCAGCGTTTGGATCTCTGCCACCCTTGCCACGTGGCCTGCTCCCTGTATTGGCCTCACACAGCTCCTTTCCTCTTCCAATAAGGACATCTATCACATTAGATTAGGGGCACATTATCCTGTGATATGATCCCATCTTAACTCTTTGCATCTGCCAAGACCCTGTCTCTAAACAGGCCACATTCATAGGTCCTGGGCATTAGGACTTCAACTTATCTTTTCTGGGGGACACAATTCAACCCATAACAACAGGCCATGGCTGGAATTTGAGTTTTCATCTTTCCCTCCCAACAAACCAAACTTATGTGATTCACTTTCTCTCCTTACTCCATTTAAAAAATATCATAGGTAGCCCTTGGTAAATAACAGCATTAGGTGTGCCAGAAACTTTCTGAGAAGGGATGATCTAGTGGGAGGACCTGGTACCCTGCTGGGGAGCAATCCTGGATAGTTACAGGAGAGAGAGATGTTCCTGCGGATTTACCACGGGGTGACATCCTGGCAGGAAGTGGTAGTACCACCCTACTGGCTGCTGTTAAAACAACTTGCTATTCTTCATCTGCAGATTTTGCCAGCCCATGACATTACAGTAGCCATGGCTGATGTCATTCAAAATTCCGCAGGCTTGAAACCTCGTAAATGTAGTGACTCTGTGTGTGTGTGTGTGTATGTTTGTGTGTGTGTACGTGTGTGAGTGTGTGTGCTGTGTGTGGGCAGAGTGTATGCATGTGAGGCTGAGATTTAGGTGTGCTGATGACATGAGTTGACTGTCTTTTTCAGGACTGAAATCAAACTAAAGTTTCTACAGATGTCCCTTGATAAGGGACACCTTGTAACCTAAAGCCTGGACATTTGAAGATTTAGCTAATTCTAGCTAGGGGTTTTATGGAAGTGGTTTAAGTGAGTTTCTTCTTTTAGGGAGTAGTAGAACTAGGACTTGTTGTTTCACAGGCCTCTAATATGCCCACTGGACACAGGCTTTTTGGCTGTAAACTCTGAGTGCAGAAAGAAAGACAGAAAAAGCTAGATAAATGCCGAGCTATCACTGTCATCAGGAGCTTGGAGGGAGGTGGAAAAGGCTTACAGAGAGGAGGGAGGGAGAAGAGACAGGAGAGGGACAGATTGAGGGAGAGGCCTACGCCAACCTGAACTGGGAAGCACATAGACCAGGGTTCCCCAGGGATCTGACATCAAAAGTAGAGTTTCAGTGAATTAAAAAGATTATCGTTTTAACAAAGGCCCAGGATACGATTAGAGATAGCATAAAAACTGTTTCAGGAAAAGTTCAGAACTAATAGAAAAGATTCAGTTATGTGCTGTAAAGCTAATGTAAATTATTTGCTCAAAAAGTGTATCATCTTAAACGGCACTTCCGGCAGCCTAAAACATATCTGCACACATAAAGATGTGTTTTCCATCAGACTGTACGTAGTGGTGGCATCTCTAATCACCTGGCAAGGAAAATGAGTGAAAACCACGGATTCCTTGGAGCTGCCTCCCGGTGACAGCCATGATGCTGTTTGTCGGGTCAGATTCACCAGCTGACTTAGGAGAAAAGTGTGTTTTTGTTTATTTATTTTTAACTTTTAATTTTTTCAAAGTGCATTCAGACTTTAATTGCTTTTTAATTGCGAGAGGAAAGAAATGTATTTTTAGAGGTGAGACTGCTGCACTCATAGTAAGGCTTGGATATTAGACTCTCTAGTCTCAGGAAACTAATCAACTATTTTCTGTCTCTTTACCTGATAAACTGATAAGACAAAAGTAAGTTCTAGAAGTGGAATTAAAGGAAAACTCATTAAGAAATTGCTTGAGAGTTACAGCTAGACATGCACAGAGGTCTAAAGCTGAAGTAGAATTTAACGGAATCCCGAAGCTCCAGGAACGACACTATCTACAGTGGGACTAGGGTGTGAAACAGCCACAAATGACACTGTCAGGGTTTCAGGATCAATTTAGACAGGTTTCATTTTTCAGTGACGGTCATGACGGCATTTTCAGAGTCAGCTTTAGTAAGTAGATAAGTCCTTTACAGATGAAGAGATACTTTTAAAATATGGCCAATATTATTATCATTAATATACTAATTCAATAATGAAAATTTTTTGAGTAGTTGCTAAATGCTGTACACTGCTAAGCATGCATTTTCAGTACGTGTGATTTCTAGAATGCTTGCTTTTTAAATAATAATTTTCTTTCATTCAAAGATAAAGATTTCTTTCAAAAAGCCTATCTGATTTTATAATAGAAGGATTTATTTAGCAGAAATTCATATTAAGGAAACTAAAATATTCTAATCCGTCAGGTGAGATATGTCTATACTGAGAAGAAGATATTAATATGCACCAAAGCAGCAAGAATGCTTGCTTGAAATCCAATAATTTTTTGATACCCAGTACATGAGCTTAAGTCACCAAATATTTAAAAAAATTTTTTTAAGTGTAATTATTTCTTAAGGAAACTCCTAAGAAATCTTTGCAAGGCAGAGACTCTATTTTAATCTTCTTTGTATCACCCGTGGCACCCAGCTCAGAGCTTAGAATGTAAAACATGCTCAAAAAATATTCTTTGAAGGAATGTTTGATTTGGGAATCCAAACCTGACAGTGGCATTTATTTACCTGTAGTCATCAATGCTTGCTATTTTAAAGCGGCATTTTTTTTCCTGCCTTCAGTGATAATTAATGCTCAGCTCAGACTGCAGGGTTTGAATGAAGAAATCTGAACAATAGCTAGACAAGACAAAGCCTGTGAAATCTTATGCAGGCTTCTCTATTAATGTGGTTTAGAATGATATGTTAGGAGCACTGTATACCAGAAGAATATTGATTGCATTTCAGATAATGCAATTTACAGTTAATAAGATGGTTAGGCTGGTCCAGGGAAATATTTGTTTTCTTCAACAATGTTAGGCAGAAAACATACATTTTAATAAATACTACATGAGAACAATCCTTTTGGGTGAATTTCAAGGAAACAAACAGACTACCATATGGCTACACATTGGTGGATTTTCACATTTCTAAAATCTGGATAAATGTATTATCAGTAATACTTTGCTTTACAAATAGATTTGTTTGAATTATTCTTGCTTTAGTACCAGAAACCTTTGCTGACATTTTGTATGTAACGTTTAATATCTAAGGATGATAGTTCTAGGACAGAATATATAATGTGATCACATTTGTTTTTAAAAAAATACACACACACACACACACACACACACACACACACACACACACGCAAACTCTGGAAGACTAGACCCCAGGTTTCATAGGGGTTATGGTGAAGAACAGGGCAGAGTGAGATTATAGGGTATTTTTACTTTTAGAGTTAAATATTTCTGTGACATTTGAATTTTTATAATAAGTATGTATTGTTTTTGAAATCAGAAAAAGATATATTAATTTATGGGGCTGACACTGATGATGTTGACAGTCAAAATAGTATTGCAAAGAGCCTGAAAATAATCTAGCTGCAGAATCATCTACCAAAACTGATTCCTGCCTGCATGTACAAGGTGGATGCTGCAGCATTGCTCAGAGTGGCCACAGATCTGCCACTCCTTGAAAGTCCATCATCAGAGGGAGAGAAAGAGGAAGTATGAAGGCGTATCTGTCTGCATAGACTAGGAAAATCTGGCAGAGGATGAGAACCTAGTAACTCTAAAGTCACTGGGGGCTGTGATTTTTCAATTTGGTACCATGTGCTTGGTCCACATGTTAAAAAAATTGGGCGGCCAGGGGTGGTGGCTCACGCCTGTAATCCTAGCGCTTTGGGAGGCCAAGGCGGGCAGATCATGAGGTCAGGAGTTCGGGACCAGCCTGGCCAACATGGTGAAACCGCATCTCTACTAAAAATACAAAAAGTTAGCTGGGCATGGCGGCAGTCGCCTGTAATCCCAGCTACTCGGCAGGCTGAGGCAGGAGAATCACTTGAACCTGGGAGATGGAGGTTGCAATGAGCCGAGACTATGTCATTGCACTCCAGCCTGGGCAACAGAGCCAGACTGTCTCAAAAAAAAAAAAAAAAAAAGACAAGTGTGGTGGCTCACGCCTGTAATCCCAGCACTTTGGGAGGCCAAGGCGGTCGGATCACAAGGTCAAGATTTCGAGACCAGCCTCGCCATCATGGTGAAACCCTGTCTCTACTAAAAATACAAAAATTAGCCAGGCATGGTGGCACGTGCCTGTAATCCCAGCTACTTGGGACGCTGGGGCAGGAGAATTGCTTGAACCCAGGAGGTTAAGGTTGCTGTGAGCCGAGATTGCACCACTGCACTCCAGCCTGGGCGACAGGGCGAGACTCCATCTCAAAAAAAAAAAAAAAAATTGAGACGGAGTCTTGCTCTGTCACCCAGACTAGAGTGCAGTGGCGCAATCTCGGCTCATTGCAACCTCTGCAATGGGCAGAGTTCAAGCAATTCTCCTGCCTCAGCCTCCCAAGGAGCTGGAATTATAGGTGCCTGCCACTACGCCTGGCTAATTTTTGTGTTTTTATTTTTGTATTTTTATTTTTTATTTCTTTTGAGATGGAGTCTCACTCTGTCACCCAGGCTGGAGTGCAGTGGCACGATCTTGGCTCACTGCAATCTCCGCCTCCCCAGTTCAAGTGATTCTCCTGCCTCAGCCTCCCGAGTAGCTGGGACTACAGGCATGCGCCACCACTCTTGGCTAATTTTTGTATTTTTAGTAGCAACGGGGTTTCACCATGTTGGCCAGGCTGGTCTCGAACTCCTGACCTCAGGTTATCCACCAGCCTTGGCCCCCCAAAGTGCTGGGATTATAGGCATAAAGTACCGTGCCTGGCTGGGCTGTGCTTTTTCGATTTGGTACCATGTGCTTGGTCCACATGTTAAAAAAAATTGTTAAAAGATTATATATTTTTAAAAAGATTATATTTAGGTTCACAAGCCACAAGATAGCAAAAGAATCTGCTGGATATTTTCTGTCTCCTCTCAGCGGCCTTCTTACACATAGATGTTGGTTGTATTCTTCCTCCGTCAGGGCTTCTAAACCCATCAATGGTGAAAGACCAGTTTTGTTTTGCTTTTTATTTCTCCAAAGGCTTATAGACTGATACTTTAGTACAATCAATAAAAATGAATTACTGGTAAAATGAAATTAAAAAACAACAGAAACATACAAAATTCAAGGTCCAATTTAAAAATTATTAGATGGAGCAGACATACCATTCCTCTGTCAAATTGCTTTTAACCAGTGGTTAGTGGTTCTCAACCAGGAAGAGGCAGGGAGGGCTCTTGATTTTGCCCCTCCACCTCTGAGGACATTTGACAATAGCAGAGACGTTTTTGCTTGTCCCCCCTGGGGAGGGGGATGCTACTAGCATCTCATGGGCAGAAGCCAGAGATGCTCAGAAGCATCTGACAGTGCAAAGGACGGCCCCCACAACAAAGAATTATTGGGCCCCAAATCAGTAGTGCCAAGGTTGAAGAATCCTGCCTTAAAAGTTTCTACATTGCTAATCTCAGTTTTTTGTATTTATCTCTTGGCAGAATGGTAACATTTTTGGACTGTGGTCCACAGACCACATTTTGAGACGACTGCCCTTACATACTTGAACTCTGACCCAGTAAGGTTGCCAGACAAAACACAACTGGATTCTCTAATCCTTTAACTTTGTAAGGCTTCTGGATAAACAAAATAAGAATGAGCACAAGGGAATGAAGCTTAGTGATGTAATCAAATGAAACATAAATTATTCTCTGCAGTCTGCAGGACTGGGGCTTAAAGCCTAGCTTTGTTACTTCTTAGCTGTGTGAGCTTGGGAAAGCTATTTTTAAAAAATCTTTTAATTTGATTTTTTTTTTTTTGAGACGAAGTCTTGCTCTGTCACCCAGGCTGGAGTGTAGTGGCATGATCTCGGCTCACTGCAATCTCCAACTCGCTGGTTCAAGTGATTCTCCTCCCTCAGCTTCCCAAGTAGCTGGGACTACAGGTGTGTGCCACCACGCCCCGCTAATTTTTGTATTTTTAGTAGAGATGGGATTTCATCATGATGGCCAGACTGGTCTCAAACTCCTGACCTCAGGTGACCCACCCACCTTAGCCTCCCAAAGTACTGGGATTATAAGCGTGAGCCACTGCACCTGGCCTGGTTTTTAATTAAAAAAAAATTTTTTTTGGTGGAGATGGTGGGGGGAGGTGTCTCACTATGTTGCCCAGGCAGGTCTTGAACTCCTGACCTTAAATGATCCTCCCGCCTCAGCCTCCCAAAGTGCTGGGATTACAGGCGTGAGTCATTGAGCAAGGCTGGGAAAGCTATTTAATATCTTCAGACTGTCATTTTCCCCTCTGTGGAGTGGGGATAATGCCCTCTTCCTATGGCTGTGCGAGGATAAGTGTGATTTTTGGTATGGAGAGCGCCTAACCCACAGAGGCACCTGATAGTTGAACCTCTCCGTCAAAGGTCACTGAGAGCCCCAGAGCGTTCTTCTCAGTCTTTTTATTTCTGCAGTGGAGCCCGAGGCAACACCCCTCACATTTCCTCCTCCTTCTCCGAAGAGTGGGGCTCACCAGGAACTTTGAACTGCCAGGTACCTGAGTGAAGGGCAGGTCCTAACTCTTCAGAGACGATTCCAGGAAGCTGCTTTGTAAAGTGGAAAGTGTGATGCAAATGTTAGGAATCGCTTCGTTGGTTTCACTGATATTGACTGGGCCCCTACTAGATGCCCTTAATATAAAGCAGTGGCAGGCTGGGCATGGTGGCTCACATCTGTAATTCCAGCACTTTGGGAGGCTGAGGTGGGTGGATCACCTGAGGTCAGGAGTTCAAGACCAGCCTGGCCAACATGGTGAAATCCCATCTCTACTAAAAATACAAAAATTAGTGGGGCATGGTGACAGGCACCTGTAGTCCCTGCCATTTGGGAGGCTGAGGCAGGAGAATTGCTTGAACCCGGGACGCGGAGGTTGTAATGAGCCAAGGTTGCACCACTGCACTCCAGACTCCATCTCAAAAAAAAAAAGAAAAAAAAAAAAAAGAAAAGCAGAACTAGGCTCCCATTTGTTCACGGGTATTAAATAAAAATGATCAGGGAGGAGGGGAAAAGACGATTCACAAAGGAGCTTCTAGTCTGAGTTATAAGGTAGCCACAGTGCAGTCAGCTCAGGCATTGGCAGGAACTACTGGGGGGATGTCACCCAACAAATTCCACCTTCACCTTAAAAAGTAACTGTCCAGCTGGTCCTTGCCTTCCTGTCCAGACCCGGAGCAGTGGGGCCCATGCACCTGGCACCTGACTTGCTGCAGGGAACCACAACAGCGTGTTCCTGTTCTAGGAACTGGGAGAGGGGTGAAGGGTGGCTGTGGGCCCAGCTGGAATGCTGGCCTCAGTGGAGGAGGTGCAGAAATGCCTGGGCAAGGCCAGGGGCAGACCCTCCCATCAGCGGGGAAAGGCCCTTGGCAGGTGGCACCAGAGGGGGCCACATGGTAGTGTGCCCAAACAGGGGCCCAATAAAGTCTTTACTTCCCTAGCTCTCTTTCTTGAGAATACTTCCCTCTGTGTCATAATTGGAATGTGTGAGTCATGCTCTCAATCTCCGAAAACTCAGTGCTCTTGGTTTGTCTGAGTCCGCAGCAGGTGCTGCGGGGGAGGCTGCGGGAAGCTGAGGACTTGCAGCCACTGAGGCCAGAGCTTCCCTGGACAGCACCGAGGCATGAACGGCATTGCACCGAAGACAGGGCTGGGTGGGGAGAGGTATGGCTACAGAACACACCTGTTAACTACCGGTAGCTTTCTGGGGGCAGAATCTGTCTGTCTCAAGCCCCCCAGGATTGCAGCCACCTCTCCCATCGCAGTCCCGCCACTGCTTCTGCTGCCAGGCAGGGCCTGGAGATATGGCTCTTGGCCACCTTTAGTACACAAGGTGCAGGCAGGCCCTGATAATGAAGAGAATTAAGACAGTTTCTCTCCCACAGACACTCACAGCCTAGACGAGGAGATGAACCATCAACAAATAATTTAACAAAGATTTGGGAACAGAGTGGCAGAAGCTATTCCTCTGCCCAGGAACAAAGAATCATTCCTTTCTGTTTCCATGTGGGCTCCTGACACAGATACTCAACAAGCAGAGCCAACATGATTGATCTTACGCCCTGATTATGTGGCAAACATGTTTGCATTTTACGATTGTTCATTTTAATTCGTATTATCAGGTTTTGCTACCATGGCAGAACATAACGGTCTTAAACCCTGCATGTTAATCCCAGTTATCCAAGACTTCCCATGATACACTATAAAAATGTCTTTTTACCCCGCACATGCTTATGTCACTATCTTATATCTTATACAATGTGCCTTTCATTTCTAAAAGCAATTCATTCACATAAATGTTCCTGCAGATTGTTAAAGCCTTAGACTCTGGGACCAGGCATAATTGGAGAACGAATCAGATGTATGTTTCAAAGAAACAACCCCAACACATATCCAAACGACATTTAAGATTTCTTCCTATTTCACAGGAGATGACTTACGAGTGAACACTCACCCTTTTTTGGTATGTTAGTCTCATATTACCTTTTGCTATTAAACCAGGCATGGGTACACTTTCCAGGGCTGAGCTTTATTGCACATGAGCCCTGTGACTCAACTTTGCCATAACCAGGTATTTTGGGGGCTTTTAAAAGTATGAAGACATTGCTAAGATTAGTAAAAACAGAACCTTCAAAGTCATGAACACTGAAAGTACAGAAATAAATCATTTTAGCTTTTGATGGTTTGATGAAACTTTCTATTCACTGGCTTCCTAATTCATAAGCATCAAAGTAAAGGAAATTGTGGTGACATGATTTTGCAGTCATAATTTCTGAGCCTCAGAAATGCATTCAGCTGAATCGAATGTAGTATCTTTCTTTTAATTTGAAATGGGTAAAATACAGATCCACAGTTTAAGAATCAAATTCAGTTTAACAATTGGAAAGAACCTTTGAGAAACTGTGTTCCAAACACATTTTACAGGTGAATACTATCAGAATACAACCGGTTGAGGACCAGGCAGGCCCCTTAACTTCCCCAGGGCTCAGCTTCCTGATCTGTAAAGTTAGGGGCTGGGCTGTATGAACCCCTAAATCCCGTTTCACCTCAAACGTATTTCAGGATTCTAGTAAAAAGGTGCTGAATGAACGAAGCTAATCCCGAGAGAGACTTGGATTTGCCTGAGATCATGCAGTTAGTCAGGGACAGACACACATCCTCTGACTCCCGGCCATTGCTCTTTATAGAGAACAGGTTTAGAGTAAAGATCTTGAATTAAAAAAAAAATTACACAGAGATTAATGAACAGAACACCTTATAAAAAAAAAACAACACACAACTCTATATGAAAACCAAGTCACGCAAACTTCTGAGCAATATGTTTCAGTAACCTGCACTTTTAAATCATAGACTGGCAGCTATGATTTAAGCACCCTTAGACATCCAGCTTGTGTCCCTGGCATGACCAGGTATGCACTGGAGGAATGTCAGCCAGTGTACTGGCTTCTTCTGTTACATCATGAACTTCTCCAAAATGGAGAGACAACAATTCATTATACCATGATCTCTCATTATAGATTGAATTGTATCCCCCAAAACGACATGTTGAGGCCCTGACCTCCACTACTGTATCTGTGAAGGGGACCTTATTTGGAAATAGGGTCTTTGTGATGTAATCAAATTAAGATGAAGTCATTGGGGGGTGGGGGTGCTAATCCAGTATGACTGATGTCATTATAAGAAGAGGGAAATTTGGACACAGGGAGAAGACGGCCACATGAAGATTGAGGCAGAGATTGGAGTGATGCTGCCACAAACTAGGGAATGCCCGGGGCTACCAGAAGCTGCAACAGACGAAAAAAGGGTCCTCCCCTAGAGCCCTCAGAAAGAGCATGGTCCTGCCAACACCTTGATTTTAGACTGTTAGCCTTTAGAACTGTAACACAATGAAATCGTGCTGTTTTAAGCCACACAGCGTGATACCTTGTTATAGCAGCTCCAGCAAACAAATACACCTCTCATGTCTCTGTTGGGTTGACTGGGCTCACTGGAGTCCTTCTCACTCAGGGTACTGCAGAGAGTGGCTGGAGCTGGCATCACCTGAAGGCTCAACAGGGCTGCATCCAAGATGATGCACTCACATGGCTGCAGTTGATGCCGTCACTGGCTGGGGGCTCAGCTAGGGTGTGGACCAGCTCATGGCCTCTCTGTGGTGTGGAATTATCAAAGCATGGCAGTGTCACTCCAAAGAGGCAGGAAGTAGAGACTGCTGTGCCAGTAAGGCCCTGGCTGGGAATGGGTGTGGCATCTGTTCTGCTACCTTCTATTAGTCAAACCCATTAAGGAGGTGTAGCAAGGTGAATGCAGAAAAGCATGTGAGTTGGGAGAAAGTGCTGAGCCATGATTGGAACATACAATCCAGCTCAACAATGTTTAATAGGATAAGTGAATGTGAACCTACTAGAAATCATGTAATTCACTGTTAAGCCAAAATATTAGTGGATTTAGAAAGTTATTTGAGATATTCGGAGCCATTGCTTCCCTCTGTTCTTTTTTTTTTTTTTTTTTTTTTTTTTTTTTTGAGATGGAGTCTCACTCTGTCACCCAGGCTGGAGTGCAGTGGCACGATCTAGGCTCACTGCAAGCTCCGCCTCCCAAGCTCAAGCGACTCTCCTGCCTCAGCCTCCTGAGTAGCTGGGACTATAGGTGCATGCCACCATGCCCTGCTAATTTTTGTATTTTTAGCAGAGATGGGATTTCACCATGTTGGCCAGGCTGGTCTTAAACTCCTCACCCGCCTCTGCCTCCCAAAGTGCTGGGATTACAAGCCTGAGCCACCATGACCGGCCCCTCTGTTCATATTGATTAACAAGATTAGGTTGTAGAAAACATGATTCCTCAGGACAGTTACTGATATACTGGGACCCAGAAGAGCTACTGCAGCCCCCAAGGGTTCTATATGACAAGGAGGGCTTCTTCAAACCAGTTTTCCCCCCAGAATCTTCATCACCCCTGAATCACAGCTCAGGAGACTGGAAGAGATACTTCCTCTCCCTGCTTGGAATCATTTGTTACAACTGTTATACTATGTTCAGTGATCCCCTAGCTGATGGGGAAAGATTCTCCCTGAAGCACCTAGCAATTCCTTAGTCAGCATGCCTTTGTTAAATGCTTTCTGGGGGTCAGCATTGTGTTGGCTGTTGATGCCTGCAGTCTTGAGAGATGGAGCTGTGAAAACTTCTGTATTCCCCCTCTTTCTTTCTCCTTTCTGAACTGTAGGAGGTGTGGGAGCTCTGAGTCTTGGAGCCATTTGTGTCATGTCTCTGTCTTTAGATATTCTTTTTCCCACTGTGTGGGCCTGAGGAGGCCCCTGGAGGCTGCAGCAGTGAGGCTGGACCATCTTGGTTATCTGGTTCCCTTTCCTCTGACAGGGTAGGTGAGCTTTTTATGAGCTGGAAGGTCTCAGGTGGTGCTAGCACCTGCAAGGACCACCCTCTGGAAGACAGATTCCTGCTACCTGTTTGGGGGAGGATGTTTAGAAGAAAGAAAGGCTGCTTAGAAGGGTGCCAGAAACAGGTGCTTAGAAGAGAGAATGGTGCAGCAACCATTTGGAGAGGGCTGCTTTTGGGTTCTTGCTCTCCTTGTGGGGTGGGGGTGGGGGATTGTGAGGCTGTGGCTTTTTTTTGTTGTTGTTGTTATTTTTGAGCTGGAGTCTCACTCTGTCACCCAGGCTGGAGTGCAGTGGCATGATTTCGGCTCACTGCAACCTCCACCTTCCAGGTTCATGCAATTCTCCTGCCTTAGCCTCCTGAGTAGCTGGGATTACAGGTGCCTGCCACCCCGCCCGGCTAAATTTTGTATTTTTAGTAGAGACGGGGTTTCACCATGTTGGCCAGGCTGGCCTTGAACTCCTGACCTCAGGTGATCCGCCTGCCTCGGCCTCCCAAAGTGCTGGGATTACAGGTGTGAGCCACAGTGCCCAGCCGGGGCAGTGGCTTTCATATTGTACATGTTCAAGCCCTTGAAGACCTTTGGTGGCATCAGGGACCACCCAAAGGGAGGAGTGAGTTAAGAAGGGGGGGAAACTTTGGACCCCTTATTTAATTTTTTTTTAAACAGACTTTATGTTTTTAGAGCCTTTTTAGGTTCACAGCAAAATTCAGTAGAAAGTGGAAGCTTCCCATATACTCCCTGCCCTTTGCCCCACTCCCCCAGCCTCCTACACCATCAACATCTTGCATCAGAGCGGTGCGTTTGTTACGATTGATGAAGATACATCACATGTCATTATCACCCACAGGCCATAGGTTAATTAGGGAATACTCTTGGTTGAGTCATAATAGTAGTTTCACTGCCTCAAAAATCCTCTGGGCTCTGTCCCTGCCTCCTCCCAGATCCTGGCACCTGCTGATCTTTTCACCGTCTCCTTAGTTTTGCCTTTTCCCTCACCGCTTTTCGACCAGAGCTGATCTGTTTTCATGTTGGTCTTTTGTTTAAAAATTCATTCGAAGACTAAATTGTACTACTTAAAAAGAAAAAAAGGAATAAGGATACAAGTTATCAGGCAGTCCTATTCCTTGTTAGCTGTGTGATCCTGGGAAAATCACTTCACCTCTCTGAAAGTCAATATTTCATCCACAGAATGGGAGGAATGATGGCTGTCTCGCATCAATACTGTTAAATATGGAAAGTATCCGACAAGCACCTGGCGAATAGCAGAGGCTCAACAAGGACAGGTTTCCTCCCTCTGCTCATCCTGCTCCTTCTCCCATTCAGTCACTGAGTTCAGCCCGTTTCGTCTTTAGAGTTTAGAATTTCTCTCTTCTCATCCTCATCACAACTCCTTTCTGGTTCAGGCTTGATCTTATTCAGAGTGTCTACAAACAATGATTATCCCACACATCTGTGCTTAACGCTCACCTTTAATGCAACAAAATGTGTAGATATTGCTTGGCAATTTGGAGATGAGTGTAGGTAGATTCCTAGGGGTTGGCCGGTGAGTTCTGCTGGCTGTTCCCGAGTGCCGCTTTCTGGGGTCTTTTCCTTCACTCTGACAAACTGCCAGGGGACTTGGGTGGTTCCTGTAAGGGGCTTTCATGGTGGTGGCAGGCTATCCATTTAGAATTCCACTTCCCAAATTCCTTACACACCAAGCTATTACACTAGCTAGCACTAATCTCACAAGATACAGTGTAACAGCAAACAACCACACCACACACACATAAGACCTTAGCAGGGTAGCTTCCTGGATGGTGTCTCCTTAAATTCTCACCTTTGGGTGTCTTTTGAATAAGCCCTTCCAAATAAAAGGCCCTCATTCTGTCTCTCACTGGGACTGCTCTGTCATCTCCGGAGTGGTCTCTAGCCCTGCCCCCAATCCGGGATTTGAGAAATAGGTCCTAAGATGAGCAGAATTGGGTAACTGACTGGAAGCTGGAGATGAAAGAAAATGTGAGGGTGAGTCCAGGAAATTGTGGCAGTGTCACCAAGTAGAGCAGGGAACACAGGAGGACCCGCAGCCCACAGGTGTGGACCCCGGGCAGGCTGCCGGATATGTGCATATAAAGCTGAGTGAGTCCTTTGCGGGAGGCTTGTTTTGATCCACCTGATTTTCCCAGCCTACCTCTTTGGAGACATCTGTTTCCTCTTATTTCCAAGGTCTGGGGAGGGAGCAAATCATTCTCACCCCATGTGCTGTCTACAAGACAATTCTTGTATGGCTTGGCATTTAGTGTGATGCCTTATGCTTTGTGGTGCGATACATCTAGTGTGTAGAAACGTGAAATACTGGTTTATCCTTTAGCTGAACTGACTAGTTGTGTTTTGATACTGTGTATTCATGCATATTACAAATACACACACATGGCTGGGCGTGGTGGCTTATGCCTGTAATCCCAGCACTTTGGGAGGCCGAGGCAGGTGGATGGCTTGAGGTCAGGAGTTCAAGACCAGCCTGATCAATATGGCAAAATCCCTTCTCTACTAAAAATACAAAACTTAGCCAGGCATGGTGGTGCACGCCTATAGTCCCAGCTACTCAGGAGGCTGAGGCAGGAGACTCATTTGAACCCGGGAGGCTGAGGTTGCAGTGAGCCAAGATGGTGCCATTGTACTCCAGCCTGGGTGACAGAGCGAGACTGTCTCAAAAAAAAAAAGGAAAAAAAAAAAAAAGAGAGAGAAACAGAGGGTGAGAAAGAAAGAATGCTAAAGCCAGTGTGGTAAAATGTTAACAATGGGGAATCTGGGTGAAGGATATATGGGAATTCTTTGTACTATTTTGCCAACTTTTTTTCTCAGTCTATAACTTTTTCAAAATTGAAAAGTAAAACAAAAATTAGTTTAATATATGCTATAGGACCCTTTAAGGACTGAAACGGGGTGGTGGAGGTGGGGTGTGTGTGTGTGTGTGTGTGTTGGTGTTGGAAGTGGGTAGGGAGCACCAAAAACTTGATGGCATCAGCTGTAAGGAAACTGGTGATCACCCCACATAATCGCGGATAGTCACCTCAGCTGCTCAGTTGTTTTGAGAAACAATCTTTTTGCTTTTTCTAGATGCAAAGAGGTATAATTGAATAAGTCACAGCAGAAAATGAAAAGATGATCTGTTTTCTGTTACAGCGATTGTGAAATGCACATAGATCTCAGCCCAGAAGGAATCAATTTGACTAACGTAGATGTAAAATCAAAATTAATAGAACTATAATCCCTTTGGTGATCTGCATTTGTTCTGAATGATCTTATCAAACGTTCCTGGTGAGACAGGACACAATATGATTGCTAAGACACCAGGAGTGGGGAGGGCAATAAGTCAGATGGAGAGAAGATACTAGATGTCATGTGCTTCCCTTGCTTAGAGAAAATGGATGAAGTGAGATTGAGATACCAACTGTAGAGCCTGGACTGCCGAACCAGGATCCTGACCTTAGGAGCCCCTTCGTGATGTGAATACACCGGCTCAGACTCAGATGTGTCCAGAGCATGTGGTCCTGATTTGTATCAGGGCACTGGAGGCTTATGAATGATCCCCAGACTCAAAGGAAACAGAGCACCCTTAATTACTTAAGTCTTGTTAAAGTCCAGTACCATCTGCTCCAACAGGTAGGTTTCACCAGGAAGACAGTCAGGGAGGGTTGCTTATGCAACAAGTGTTTATTAAGTGCCTTCTATGTATAAGGCACAGTGCAGAACGATGGAAATAAAATGGAGAATAGGATCTATACCATCGGAGGACTCATAGGCTGGAGGCTTCTGACCAAGGAATTCCCATACAACCCAGTTTCTCCACGTGTAAAAGGGGAGACCTACCCCCCTCACATGCTAAACATGAGATTAAATGAACTGAGGCCAGGTGCGGTGGCTCAGGCCTGTGATCCCAGCACTTTGGGAGGCTGAGGTGGCCGGATCACCTGAGGTCAGGAGTTTGAGACCAGTATGGCCAACATGGTGAAACCCTGTCTTTACTAAAAATATAAAAAGTAGCCAGGCGTGGTGGCACATGCCTGTAGTCCCAGCTACTCAGGAGGCTGAGGCCCGAGAATTGCTTGAACCTGGGAGGCGGAGGTTGTAGTGAGCAGAGATTGCGCCACTGCACTCCAGCCTTGGCAACAGAGTGAGATGCCATCTCAAAAAAAATAAATGAATTAAAAAAAAAAGAATTGATATATGTAGAGCAAGCAGTAAACACTTGGCATATATCCAGTGCTCAGTAGTTGCTGGTTCCCCCTCTGTCTCTTCTCCAGGGTTCTCTCCTACCTGAGCCGTCTTTGGTTACTCTGAATCTTGCCCACTCTGGTCTGTCCCGTCAGGATAGTTCCACGGACCTAACTCTTGACCTTCTGCTGTTGTTTTAACCCAGATACCCTAAACAACGCCTGAACTTGTCCTTACAGTGCCTCCCACCCTTGTACTAAGACCTCTCACTATAGGGCTGACATTTATTTGGTTAGGAAAGCCATCTGGCTTTAAAATGTGCATATATCTGGGCTGCAACAGCGATTTCAATTTGTAGATTTCACCATGGTTGTTCTGTGAAGCAGTGTTCAGGTTTATTAATTTTATATGCATTGGAGTTTTTGAAATTGTTAGTTCGTATGTATGGAAATAAATTTTCATGAAACGAACCACAAGTTCTGTTATATAGGACGTCTTTAATACCACAGTAAAATAGCTTTTAGATTACTAGAATGTCAGGTTTCTGCTAAAAATTTGTGTCACAAAAGGGAAAAAAGAAAGCATGGATGAAATACAAAAAGAAAAAATAGATGTGAAGTTACTGTAGTTTTGATTATGTTTAGAGGGCAATTTTTACGGTTTTCCCAGGGACCCAGACCTTTCTCCATCCTACGAAGAAGGCCTGTAAAGGTTGGGGTGATTTATCTCAATTCCACTGGTGCTCAGGAGCAACCTAGGCCAGCTGGAGTCGAGCTAGAGGCTGAGCCAGAAGGAAATAAGAGGCCAAAGTAAGGGCTGCAATTGCAGGCAGCCTCCAACAAGCACCTGGTTAGGTAACTGGGCTCAGACGTGGAGGAAACAGGATCTCACAGCCTCCGGGTTGAAACCTTAGCCCAGACCGGCCCAAGATGGAACCCAGCTGAGGCTCTGCTTGCTAATGAGCCCTGCCTGCTCTGTGGACCAAGGGTGGAGGAATATTGATGTTTCAGCTTGATGGTTTTCACTGAAATCACATCAATGGCTGTCTGCCTGAGAAAAGGCAGTTTAGGGTGCTCTTTTCTCCTTGGAGTTAATTTTCCCATCTGCCCCAGGCCAGAAAGCCACGGGAGATATTTCATAGCTGCTTACAGAATGATTCAGGTCTTCACAAAATCAAAACTATTAATAGTACAAAGTACAGAATTCAGCAGAAAGCAAGAAAACGAGCCATGGAGAATGTCTGTTGTTAGAGAAGCAATGTGAAGAGTTGAACCAGAAGCTTAGATATTTAAAAAAGCACAAAGTTGCACGTGATACTGCTTTACTGGGACTGACAAGGAAATAAAATGGAAAAGCAAATTATCCTACTCCAGTCAAAAAAAAAATTATTTTCACATATTTCCCACAATTTTTGTTCTACTCCCTTTATATACTTTTCTCTCTGCCTAAGAATGAATTTTGAATCATCATTCTGCTGCCAGAAATTTGTCTCACATTACCAAGTGTGTTTGCAAAGTAAGGATACTGATTTCTGCAAATCACGCCTGAGAATCAATGTCATTATTTCATAATCAAAGTATGTACACTATCTGTTTAGCAGATATAATTAGAGACATTGGCAATCTCTGATTTTACTTGTCAGAATATGGAGTTTGGACTTATTTCAGAACTTTGCATTTTCAAAATAGTTTATACTTCTAAAAGTAATCTTACCTTATTTAATAACTTAATATTATCTGCTGCCCTGCCCCCATTTGATAACCCAAGTGAGATTATCACTAGATTGTCTCAGATTATAAATTCTTTGTCAGCAGGGATTAGACCCCTGCAGTTTCCTGTATATAATATTTTGCAATTAGATGTTTGATAGTGCTTTGAAATAGGAACTCAGTTTTTAACTTTTGGTCTTTTTATTTTCAACATAATGAACCATGAAATAGTGAAAATTCCATTTTTCTTGTTATACGATTTTAGGCATTGTCATTTTTTCCAGTTACAAGCTCAGTTACAGAGAGAAGGAATTATACTACCTCTTACAGAATCAGCAACCAACAGACTCACAACACAACCAACTGGAAAAAGCAGAACAACCCAGGAGCTGTATACTATGGAAGACCAGGTTGAAAGACTGGGCTGACTTTAGGTCGGCCTTCTTCATGTAGTCACCCACAGATGGGTTTTAGGAGCTCTGGACATCCCCCAAAATTCCTTGTTGGAAAATTTGGGGGTGAATTAGTGTCTGTTGCTTACTCAGATGCTCAAAGAAGCTCAGGTATCCCCACTTCCCTCAAAAAGGTAAAATCACAATTCTGTGTTTTCTGTTTTCCTGCTTCCATTAGATTGAGAAGGCAATGTGTTTAAGGGCAGCTAAGGCAACGTGCAGATGATGCTTGGGTACCTTAGAGTCATTTCCTCTCTTCTTTCTGCTAACAGAACCCTGACTTTGCTCAGGACAACAGTGTGCCCAGCCTGAGGAGATCATTCTTGATATTTGAAATCATGACAAGCTCATTCTCTTTCCTTGTAAATATCCCAGCTGCCCTTTAAGCTAGGACATGTGTTCCATGGACATGTGTTGCCTTTCTTGCCAATAAGATGCAGAGAAGTCTTCAGGGAGGCTTCTGGAGAGCTTCTGCTTTCTTGATACATGATAAAGTAGGGGCTGACTCAGTCCCTTCCCCTTCTTTCTGCCTTGAATTTGCATGTGATACTTGGAACTACAGCAGCCACCTTGCAACCATGAGTACACGCATGAGGATGATAAGCCAATATGCAAAATGAGAAGACAGAAAGAGCCTGAGTCTAATGAGTTTTTATGAAGCTGGCAGACCAATCCTGATATGGACTTTCTCTGAGTTTCTTGTTAAGTAAAGAGTAAACCATCCTTATGACTTAAGCTATAGTTAGTAGAGGGTTTCTGCTACTTGCAGTCAAATGTGGGCCTCAGTGGATACAGTGAATAATCTTTTATGGCTTAAAATACAATAAATTGATTCTGTTAAAAAGTACCACTAGATGATGTTTTTCAATGAATTCTGCGAACTATATTATTTTGCTAGTCTTCTAACTACGCCTGCAGGAAGTGCAAGGGAAAAATCAGGAGTGAATAGAGTGATCACCTGCGTTTAAATGGTATTCCTCCTGATATAAAAAAGAGTGGATTTTATCTTATTTTTGGTCTGTAATACTCAATGAATGGAAATAGTTATATAGGCAGAGACTACACCTCTACTTCCAACTGACATGGACATTGTTTCTATGCTTTTCTGCTCCAAAGATTTCTTTTTCTTTTTCTTTTTTTTTAAACTTTAATTTTAGATTCAGGGGTATAGGTGCAGGTTTGTTACATAGGTAAACTCGTGTCATAGGGGTTTCTGGTACAGATTATTTTATCACTCAGGTTAGTAACCAAACAAGCATTTATAACTTGATAAAATTCTTGTACTATTTCATCATATTGCCTGCATACAGGTATAAAAGAGCAACTCATTTATTAAGGTTTAAATTTTTTGGCCGGGCACGGTGGCTCACACCTGTAATCCCAGCACTTTTGGGGGTGAAGGTGGGTGGATCACTTGAGGTCAGGAGTTCTAGTCCAGCCTGGCCAACATGGTGGAACCCCATCTCTACCAAAAATACGAAAATTAGCCAGGCGTAGCAGTGCACGCCTATAGTCCCAGCTACTTGGGAGGCTAAGTCAGGAGAATCGCTTGAACCTGGGAGGCAGAGGTTGCAGCGAGCCGAGATCGTGCCATTGCACTCCTGCCTGGGCAACAGGGCAAGACTCTGTTTCAAAAAATAAAAATAAATAAATAAATAAATGTTTTTGTTTGCTCTCTATATATATGTTTTTTGAGACAGAGTCTCGCTCTGTTGCCCAGGCTGGAGTGCGGTGGCATGACCTCGGCTCACTGCAAGCTCCACCTCCAGGGTTCATGCCATTCTCCTGCCTCAGCCTCCCGAGTAGCTGGGACTACAGGCGCCCACCACCATGCCCGGCTAATTTTTTGTATTTTTAGTAGAGACGGGGTTTCATCGTGTTAGCCAGGGTGGTCTCAAGCTCCTGACCTTGTGATCTGCCCACCTCGGCCTCCCAAAGTGCTGGGATTACAGGTGTGAGCCACTGTGCTCAGCCAAAAAATTTAAACCTATGCCCAGCTGTTTGCATTATATTTTTTATGTGTTGTAAAAAAGCTGGCTGGGCATGGAGGCTCACATCTGTAATCCCAGCAGTTTGGGAGGCTGAGGTGGGAGGATCGTTTTAGGCCAGGAGTTTGAGACCAGCCTGGGCAACATAATGAGACCCTGTCTCTATGAGAAAAACAAAAGAAAAAAAAGAAAAAAAGCCTATTTGGACAAGTAAACCACTTGGAATTTTAAAATCAACTTCTATTGTATTCAAAGATAAACCATTTAAAAATATCAAGGAAGGAAAAAGCCACTGAATTAAGTTAGCATATTCTCCTCCAATAAATTTAATTATATGTATTTCTATAAATTTACATACTACTTCATATGCATTTATGTATATATTTGTGGATTATTACTTTCATTTTTTAGAGACTGCGGTCTTGCTATGTTGCCTAGGCTGGTCTCAAACTCCTGACCTCAAATGATCCTCCTGCCTCAGCCTCCCAATGTGCTGGGATTACAGACATGAGTGACTGTGGCCAGCCAGATTATTACTTTTTTTTAAAAACAGCTTTATCTACAGTATACCAAAGGTGACAGGGTTGGATATTTATCAGTTAGTACTGCTGTGTAACAAACCCCTCCAAAACTTAGTTTAAACAGCAAAGGTGTTATCACTTGTGACTGCAGGTCAGTTGGTCTAGCCTGGGCTTGACTGGGCATGACTCCACACTGAAGGTTGGTTCCAGGCCTGTCTCACTCTTCTTGGACCAGCAGGCTGGCTGGGACTTGTTTTTCTTATGGCAATGGCAGGGCTGTGAGAGGGTAAGAGGACAAGCCAAATGTGCAGATGCATTTCAAGCCTTTGCTTGTATCACGTCCCCTGACATGCCATTGGCTAAACTGAGTCATAGGGCCAAGCCCAGCATTCATAGTGTGAGGAAATAGACCTCACTGCCGGGCGGGAGGGACTGCAAAGTTACATGGCCATGTTCACAGGAAGATCCAAGGGACAACAGGTGAAAACTAGAATGCAGTGTGAGGGAAGAAACACTGGTAACAAAGGCCAGCTTCTGACATTGTTCCAGCTCAGTTTTTAGAAACTGACAGAGCTAAGAGTTAAAGAAACTATCTTAGGAAAGAGAGATGCCTGGTACTCCTGCCACAGAAGATAAAATTCTTCATACTGAACATGTTTAGGCAATGCTTAGAAGAATTACCTTGACAATGCTTTTAGAAAGATCACCATTCACTACTATTGTACTCATGTCCCTTTCTAGAGTGAGCCTAGTATTTCTATGTAATAAAGAAAATTGTTTTGTCATTGTTTTGCCTTTCTGTTATGCCAGAATTGTACAGATATTGTTTTTACAAAATCCATAATACATATATACATTTTTTTGGTGGAGTTTTTTGCTCTTGTTGCCCAGGCTGGAGTGCAATGGTGCGATATCGGCTCACCGTAACCTCGGACTCCCAGGTTCAAGCAATTCTCCTGCCTCAACCTCCCGAGTAGCTGGGATTACAGGCATGCACCACTGTGCCTGGCTAATTTTGTATTTTTAGCAGAGATGGGGTTTTTCCATGTTGGTCAGGCTGGTCTCGAACTCCTGACCTAAGGTGATCCACTCGCCTCAGCCTCCCAAAGCGCTGGGATTACAGGCGTGAGCCACTGCGCCCGGCCATATGTTAATGACCAATTTTTTTTTTTTTTGAGATGGAGTCTCGCTCTGTCACCCAAGCTGGAGTGCAGTGGCGCAGTCTCGGCTCACTACAACCTCTGCCTCCCGGGTTCAAGTGATTATCCTGCCTCAGGCTCCTGAGTAGCTGGGACTACAGGTGCCTGCCACCACACCTGGCTAATTTTTTGTGTTTTTAGTAGAGACGGGGTTTCACCATGTTAGCCAGGATTGTCTTCATCTCCTGACCTCAGGTGATCCGCCTGCATCGGCCTCCCAGAGTGCTGGGATTACAGGCGTGAGCCACTGTGCTCGGCCATGACCAATATTTTTAACAATTAGGAGCCAAAATAACAGCCATGTTCTTCACATGCAGTATTTCATATTAATCTTCACAGCAACTCTGTGAAGTAGGAATTATGTATTATTATGTTTTATATTATTTCTGTTTTACAGATGAATTGAATCTTAGGTTAAGTAACCCGCTAAAGATCACACTTAACAAACAGGATTTGAACATAGTTCATCTTGGGTGGGCTGGGTGGCTCATGCTTGTAAACCCAGCACTTTGGAGGCCCAGGCAGGAGGACTGCTTGACCCCAGGAGTTTGAGGCCAGCCTGGGCAACATAGCAAGACCTCACCTTTCTTTAAAAAAAAAAAAAAAAAGAAGATGAATTTTGATCATTTCATTTAGGATCAGGACCCACAAGCTTAACAGGACACACACTGCTTCTTGTATCCCCTATGTGAAAACAGTGCCCATGCTTTTGTTGTTCTAGTGCAATTTGGCACATGAAACCACAACCAAACTGAGACCATGAAATATACATGCTGTAAAATAAAATAAGTTACGCATCTCTGTTTCAGCATTTTGGGTGTCATATCACCCCTGTAGTCCCAGCTATTTGGGAGGCTGAGGTGGAAGGATCGCTTGAGCCCAGGAGTTTCAGGCTGCAGTGAGTTATGATCACATCACTGCACTCCAGCATGGGTGAGAGGGCCAGACCCTGCCTCTTAAAAAAACGAACAAACAAAAAATAAATCATTATTACAACTCTTTTTCAGTGTTGGAATACAGAAAATAGCCCATCTAGTTTGCTTTTGAGCACTCTATCCTGCAGATCTTGGTTGATTGTTGGAAGAATGCATTTTATGGAACACATGTTAATTTTCTAAGGTTCTGAGCTCTCTTATTTACCAGGGCCAGCAATATCACTGGCCTCATTGGCTTCTCAAACCAGTCTGGCCTGGGCTAGCCACGCCCACGGTGGACTAGCGATCTGAACTCTTGTTCCCTGTTTTGGCAGGTCCCAGCCCCAGGACCCCTTTTCCCGTTGCTCAGGACCACGGAGGAGTGTGTAGGCAGCTGAGTCCCCACTGCTGCTTTAAAATGTCTATTTTTTCCTCTCTCATTCTTGATCATGTTCTGCCTACTTTTCTGAAACCTGGTGTTAACTCAACACACAGAGAAACATTTGAAGAAACTGCTCACAACTCAAACCCAGAATTAACCCTTTAGCCTTCAGCCCCACCCTTTGTTTGCTCATGGATCTGAACAAAGTAATCACTGGGTTTTTAAATGTTTTCAAGAGTCATGAATTATTGTCTTAATTGTTTTAAGCTATAAAAATTAATTCTTTTAAAAAGGGTATTCTTAAAAATCCTTTTGGTACGAATGGTAACAGTAGAACAAACACATCCATTTAACCTAAAAGAGTTTTCATGTAATAGCAAGTCAACAATTATTCATTCAACTAGCATGTGATTTTTTCTTCTTTAACAAGAGTGGTACGGTTTTGTGGGTGCTTTGGGGATGGCTAATAAACATGAGAGGACATACCTGGTTGATCCTGACAGTAGCAAAAGAAGAAAATAATAAATTTTAAAAAGAAATAGGAGGATTGTCAAGGCCTCTGCTGGGGTGGGTAGGGGAGGTGGAATTCAAATTTTTGAGTAACTGACAACGGCACAAGCACTGACCACTCAGAATGGACACTGGTCACAAACAGCCTGTGTGGCTGTATTGGTGTCACCTTAACATTAAATGGGTCAACTTTCCTTTGGTGCCAGCACTAACTGGTTTCCAGCTCCAACACCCCAGCTCTGGCTACAAACTTCTGTTAGGCACTTTTTTTTTTTTTGGGACGGAGTCTCGCTCTGTCGCCCAGGCTGGAGTGCAGTGGCATGATCTCGGCTCACTGCAAGCTCCGCCTCCCGGGTTCACACCATTCTCCTGCCTCAGCCTCCCTAGTAGCTGGGACTACAGGCGCCCGCCACCACGCCCGGCTAATTTTAGTGTATTTTTTTTTTTTAGTAAAGACGGGGTTTCACGGTGTTAGCCAGGATGGTCTCGATCTCCTGACCTCATGATCCGCCCGCCTTGGCTTCCCAAAGGGCTGGGATTACAGGCGTGAGCCACCGCATCTGGCTGGCACTTTTGTGAACAAATCCTACTGTCGAAAGGAAAGGATTTGTCACCATTTGGGAGATTCAGTTCCTGAAGGCAATTTCAAAATATTTTCAAAGAGATTTTGAGCACTTTCTAGAAAAAGTTACCCCTTCTTAAAGTGTGCTGCTGATTGAGAACAGAAATTCGGCATATTTAGTCAAGGATGTCCACTGTTATTTTTATTTTTTGAGACAGCGTCTCACTCTGTCACCCAGGCTGGAGCGCAGTGGCACAATCTCGGCCCATTGCAACCTCCGCCTCCCAGGCTCAAGCGATTCTTCTGCCTCAGCCTCCTGAGTAACTGGGATTACAGGCGCCTGCCACCAGGCCCGGCTAATTTTTGTGTTTTTAGTAAAGACGGGGTTTTGCCATGTTGGCCATGCTGGTCTCGAATTCCTGACCTCAGGTGATCCGCCCGCCTCGGCCACCCAAAGTGCTGGGATTACAGGTGTGAGCCACCAAGACCCACCAAGAATGTGCACTGTTATTTTGTCATACTTCCTGGTAATTGGTATATTTAGTGGTGGCTTCCATGAAGTGACTATCATTTTATTGCAATGTCAAGTCAGGTGGCAGTGTCTGACTTAGTTGGAGAACTTTAAACCTAGTGAGAAAAGGTGGTTACTATTAGAGCAGTAGGCGTAGAAGTATCACACTGTAAAGGAGAACGAGTTCGATTTGGAAAGAGCAACCAGATATCCCAGTTTGACAACCAGCAGTAAGGAGCACCTTGCTGTTTGCCTTCTGCATGTTGGTTGCTGGATGGATGGAGTCCATAGGAACAGAAACAGGTTCCCCAAACAGAACTGTCCTGAGCTCACTCTGTCTCAGTGCTGCTTCTGCCCTTCATGCTTGGGATATTTTTTTCATAGTGAATTTGCAAGTTTAGAAGGTCTCTCAAAATGGAGCTGAGTAAAGAGGACTTGGGAAGTAGGCTGGCTCTAGGGCTCGTAAATATGGTAAGAGAATTCCACCAAGGAGAGAGAGGATTTCTCTGATTTTTCTTAATTATACTTTCCTGTATGATCTAAATGGTTTTTTGTTTTTGTTTTGAGACGGAGTTTCACACTGTCGCCCCGGCTGGAGTGCGATGGCACGACCTCCGCTCACTGTGACCTCTGCCTCCCAGGTTCAAGCGATTCTCCTGCCTCAGCCTTCTGAGTAGCTGGGATTACAGGCGCCCGCCACCATGCCCGGCTAATTTTTTTTGTATTTTTAGTAGAGATGGGGTTTTACTGTTGGCCAGGCTGCTCTTGAACTCCCCACCTCATGATCCACCTGCCTTGGCCTCCCAAAGTGCTGGGATTACAGGCGTGAGCCACCGTGCCTGGCTATAAATGTTTTATAATACATATACGTTTTATAATCTAAAATGTGGTATTTTAAAATATTATGGTCTGTAACAATTAATGAAGAAGTACATTGTGCAGTTTTACTTTTTAAAATTATAGAAGCAACGCACACATTCTTATTGTAAAAGAGTCAGGGCAAGCCACAATGGCACAGAACTGAATGGGAAGGTTCCCTCCTCACTGTCCTCTTGCTCCCCTGCCCAGAGGTGACACAGTTTTGTGCACATCCTTCCAGTCCCTTTCTACGTATTTTTCTTTGTATATATGTGCAGGTATCCTTCTTACATTTACATAAATGTGGTAATACTATACATACTGTTTTATAAATTACATTTTTCATTTTATACCACATCTTACAGATCTTTTACTATCAGTATATACAGATTTACCTTACACTTTGTTCGAAAATTTTTATTCATTTGATCTCAATAGCTGCTTAGTATTTATTAAATATATAAGCACACATTTCTAATATAGCTGTACCATAATTTATATACATCCTGAATTATAGAGATCAATTATATCCCGAATGATGGACACAAAGCCCTTTCCTGCTTTTTCTATTATAAACAACGTTTCCGTGACTATCCTTATTCTTATGTGCATGTAGGATACGTTTTGTTGGAAAGGTTATCTAGCAATGGAGTCTCTAGCTCAGAGAGTGCGCACAAATTCAGTAACAGCAAACACTGCCTAGCTGGATTCCTAAACACCGTGTCACTTTACACCCTCCACATGGATGAGTTCTGTTTCCTCAGATCCTAGCATTTTGCTGACATCGTATCTTGATTTATCAGGTGTGTTTGTCAGATTTCTTGAATGCGCATGTCTTCCTTTTATAATGAGAAAACATGTTTTAAAATCACACGGAGGCTGGGTGCAGGGGCTCACGCCTGTAATCCCGGCACTTTGAGAGGCTGAGGCAGGCGGATCACCTGAGGTCAGGACTTCGAAACCAGCCTGGCCAACATGGTGAAACCCTGTCTCTACTAGAAAACACAAAAATTAGCCGGGCATGGTGGTGCGTGCTTGTAATCCTAGCTACTCAGGAAGCTGAGGCAGGAGAATCGCTTCAATCCACAAGGTGGAGGTTGCAGTGAGCAGAGATGGCACCACTGTACTCCGGCCTGGGTGACAGAGTGAGACTCTATCTCAAAAAAAAAAAAAAAAAAAAAAAAATCTCATGGAAATGTTGCTTTTCAAATCTGAAAGCAAAGACACCAAAATGGTAAAAGTGGTTCTATTTGGGAGATGGGCTGTAAGCAATTTTTGTTTCTTTTATAATCTGAAAAAAAGGACAGTTAATGAAAAACAAGAATGTTAACATTCAAACATAGGTGTTATAGAAAAAAATTAGTGGTTATAAAAAAAAAAGAGAAAGAGAGAAAGAGAAAGATACCAAATAAGTCCTTGTGCATTTAGCCATTGAACTAGAACTGGAGAACTGGTTTGTTTATACTGCAAAGTAATGCTAACTTGGGCTTTCAGGACACAAAAAACATTTATCCAGGATAGACATTTGAGTAGATCTTTTAATATGTTATGAAAACACATATAATGATTACAATCTGAAAGTAGAAATGATTTAATACTTTAGAAAAAAATTAATAATCTATTTCCTGCTAGGATCCAGCCTACTTTAAAAGAACACTGGTTTGTAAAATAATATAAGGTGCGCCATATAAGAAAACTACAGGCAAAAAGAATGCCTTTTTACTGAGAAGTTTCGGCCAGTTCATTAACTATTACACACTATTTTCTTTTTCGGTCGTAAGTGTAAAATATTGAGCAACTGATAATTCTTTTAAGATTATCCTAGGATGATCTTCGTATGAAAGTATTCACAAGTGAGTTTACAAGGTCAATTTCCTGTGCAATATTCTAAGTTCAGTCATTTTTTTTTTTCCAAAAATTTCACAGGTCAGATTATGTGTGACAACACTGCAAAGTGAACCAGCTCTATCACTTGATATATTGCCCTTAGTTTAAAATGGCTGCTTTTAAAAACATATGGCTCCCAGCTGAAGTTTTATCACTGCTGTTTTTCTTCCCAGAAGATTCTATACCAATTTGATAAATTTCATCAGTGGGAAAATATTTTCTCCTCAACTTAGGAATGATTTTCTGTAATTGGAGATGTTTCTCACATGTAAAATACTGAATCAGAGCATGTTCTTTTAATGTCAGGAATGTCTTTAGCCAGCAGTTATTAGTACACCAAGAATTGCAAGGCAACATGTTAATAGACTGTCATAGAACTTGTACAAAACTAGAGTTGCCTTGTCTTTCCAGTGGGTGACCTGGGCCAACAGGCCAGATATCAGCAGCGAGTGTGTGCGACGGTACTCTGCCTGCCGGCCCACGTGTCTAGGACAAAAGGTGACAAGAGAACTTTGCAGCTCAAACTCACCAAGGACATGCAAGAGTTTGAGGAGGGCATCACCCTGGATTGGGAACAGTGGATAAGATCAAGTTCAGGATCTTGTTGACAGAAAGATCTTTTATCCAGAGAGTTAGATTTCCAAGCTCACTCACTCTATCCAGTAACCCCATTCCCATCAGGAATGCCTCTGTCAGAAATCTGATTTCTGTCCTGGTTTCAGGTTCCAGGTCACACATGCTGCCTTGAGGTCCTAGGTAATGATGACTCTAGGGGTAAAGGAGTTAACTGCCCCGCCAACCATGGAAGTGGGCTGCCGAAGGCCACCCAGCTCACTCTGGCCTTGGGAGCAGGTCTAGGTTGTCCCATCGCTGACCTGGCCAACTTCTTACCTTGGCATAGCTAACTACTCCTCTGCTCCAAATCCCACATCCCTTCCTTGCTTTCCTCTTGCTTGCTTTCTTGAGGAATCCTCTACGTCTCCATGACCTCCAACCCCCCATCTTTATTCCTGTAGCTGGGACTACAGGGCATAAAACAAAATAAGCACTAAGTAAATGTCTTTTGAATGAATAAATGAAGGGTCGTGTACAGCCCAGATTTTCCAATATTTTTGCAAACATTTTGAACTGTTTTACGTTTGTCTAATTATACTGTTTTTTTTGGGGGGGGGGGTAATGAGTTCTTTAAGCTAGTTACCAAGTCAAGTAATTCTCAACTGTTATCAGTAGACATTGCAGAGAATGCAAGAAGTGCTTTTTCATTGAAACACGCTGGAAATCAGTGAAAAAGAAACTGTGTTCATTTTATCCTGGTAGTATATATTTTCAGATAGTTTGAACACTTGATTCACTTCTTGACCTTTGCATTTTCAGCCTAAAGATCAATCCCTTGTCTTCATTTAACGGAATCTCTTTTCTTTTCCCTCCCTAACCCCTACCTCACTCTCTCTCTCTTCATCTTTTTAGGTGCAGTGATCAAACATGCTTGTAGTATTTACTTTTGTAGATACCTCCAATTTTTTTTTTTTTTGTTAAGTTTGATCATGGCTCACTGCAGCCTCAACCTCCTGGGCTCAAGTGATCCTCCCACCTCAGCCTCCCACGCAGCTGGTATTACAGGCACAACCCAGCATGCCCTGCTAATTTTTATATTTTTTGTACAGATGGGGTTTCACCATATTGCCCATGCTGGTCTCGAACTCCTAAGCTCAGGTGACCTACCCACCTCAGCCTCCCAAAGTGCTGGGATTACAGGTGCAAGCTACCATGCCTGGACTGTTAAGAAACTTAGATAAACAAGATCATAAGATAAATATTCTCTGTCTTCTTTCACTTAACACTATATTTATCAGATTCATTCACATTGTTGTATGTAGCTATAGATTCTCTGCATCATTGTAGGATATTCCATTATGTAAATTAACCACAATTTATTCATTCTACCTTTGATGGGCATTTGGATAGTTTCCAGTTTGCATTATGAACTTTTTTGTACATGTCGTTTGTTAAGTGTATATGCATACAAACATATACTTGCTAGAGCTACACCTAGAAGAATGGCTACGGTATGGAGTATTCCATATTTGTTCAAGTTTCACAGGTATTATCTCTTCTCAAATTTCCAAAGTGGCTGTACCAACTTGCACTTCTATTAGCAGTGCATAAAAATTTTCACTGCTTCATATCCTTACCTACACTTGGTATCTTCTGTATTTTTTCATTTTAGCCATTGGGTAGGTATATAGTGGTATTCCATTATGGTTTTATTTGCATGTCTCTGATAACTAATGAAACTGGGCACCTTTTTATATGCTTATTGGACATCTGTATATCCACTTTTTTAGGTGCCAGTTTATTAAGGGTATCTCCCTTTTGGCCATTTCCTAACATTTTCTTTTTCAAATCGTCTTGTGGTTTATATGATCTGTATGACAAGTGTTTTGTTAGGGAAGTGTATTGTGAATTTCCCCTATTCTTTGGCCTGCCGTTTGAATATCCTAATGGTGTCTTTTGACAAACAGAAGTCTTAAATTTAATATAGATCAATATATGAACAATTGATCAATATACGATCAATTGATCAATATACCACTTATTTCCTTTATGGTGAGCACTTTTTTTTTTTTTTTTTGAGACAGAGTCTTGTCCTGTTGCCCATGCTGGAGTGCATGGCACGATCTTGGCTCACTGCAACCTCTGCCTCCCGGGTTCAAGAGATTCTCGTACTTCAGCCTCCCGAGTAGCTGGGATTACAGGTGCCCACCACCACGCCCAGCTAATTTTTGTATTTTTAGTAGAGACGAGGTTTCACCATGTTGGACAGGCTGGTCTTGAACTCACGACTGCAGGCAATCCACCCGCCTTGGCCTCCCAAAGTGCTAAGACTGTAGGCGTGAGCCACTGCACCCGGCCGTTTATGGTGAGCACATTTTTGATTCTGTTTAAGAACTTTTTGACTATTCCAAAATCATTCTGTTTTCTTTTACATTTAGACCAGCAACTCATCTGGTTTGAGGCAGGGGTCAAGATTTCCCCTCCCCACCCCGTAAGGATAGCCAGTTGACCCAAAACCAATTATTGAAAAGATGATCCTTTCCCAACTGCACTGAAAAGCCACCTTTGTTATAAACCATATAGGTATGAGTCTGTTTCTGGACTCTTTGTTTCCCATTGGTCTATTTGTTGACCTTTGGGGCAGTATCACTGTCTTAATTACAACAGCTTTAAAAAGCTAGGTTTTGGCCGGGCATGGTGGCTCACGCCTATAATCCCAGCACTTTGAGAGGCTGAGGCGGGCAGATCACCTGAGGTCAGGAGTTCGAGACCAGCCTGGCCAACATGGTGAAACCCCATCTCTACTAAAAATACAAAAATTAGCCAGGCATGGTGGCAGGCACCTGTAATCCCAGCTATTTGGGAGGCTGAGGCAGGAGAAACGCTTGAATCCAGGAGGCGGAGGCTGCAGTGAGCCAGGACCATGCCATTGCACTCCAGCCTGTCCAACAAGAGTGAAACTCCATTTCAAAAAAAATAAAAAGTAAAATAAACAGCCAGGTTTTGATATTTGGTAGTAAAGTTGCCCAGTTTCATTCTTCTTTAATTCTCTTGGCTCTTTTCGGCCTTTTGCATTTTGCATGTATTTTAGAATCAACTTGTCAATTTCTACACACAACACAGATGCAAACGCACTCACAAATCCTGCTGGGATTTTAATTGGCATCATGTTGAATCTGTGCATCTTCCAAATCATAAAAATGACATTCCCTCTATTTAGGGCTTTAAAAAAGTTTTCCTCAATATTGTTTTGTAATGCTTTGTGCATAGGTCTTACACATCTTTCATCAGATGACTAGATATTTGATATTTTCCCAAAGGTAAATGGTATATATCACTTTAAAAGTTTAATTTCCTCTTTATTGTTATACACAGAAATGGACTTTTTTGTAAACTAAGTTTGTATCCAGTGACCTTGTTAACTTCACTCATTAATTCTAATACTTGATGATTACTTATACAATTGTGCGGTTTTGTTTCCATGTCTTATCCTTTCCTAAAACCATTTTTTTTTTTTGAGGCAGTCTTGTTCTCTTGCCCAGGCTAGAGTTCACTGGCGTGATCCCAGCTCATTGCAACCTCTGCTGCCCAGGTTCAAGCAATTCTCGTACCTCAGCCTCTCGAGTAACTAGGACCATAGGCATGCGCCATCACACCTGGCTAATTTTTGTGTTTTTAGTAGAGATGGTGTCTCACCATGTTGCCCAGGCTGGTCTCGAATTCCTGAGCTCAGGCAATCAGCCCACCTCAGCCTCCCAAAGTGCTGGGATTACAGGTGTGAGCCACCACGCCTGGACTTTAAAAAAAAAAAAAAGATGGGGTCATGTTGTTGCCCAAACTGGAGGGTAGTGGCTATTCACAGGCATAATCCCACTAGCAGTGATCAGCACAGGAGTTTTAACCTGGTCCATTTCCAACCTGGGTCGATTCACCCCTCCTTAGGCAACCTCGTGGTCTCTAGTTCCTGGAAGTTCACCATACTGATGCTCAACTTGGTGCAGACACCTGATCAACACAGCCCACTACAGCCCAGCACTCCTGGGCTCAAGTGATCCTCTATGTCCTCTCTTTGTACAGTATTTTTTAGTCTTTATTGAGCTTCTCCTTTGTTACAGCCCAGAATAGTGGTAAGTTCTTTGCTTCCCCAAATCCTCAACAGTCTTTTACAAGACAGGTGTCCCATCTGGAAAATGATACTCTGCCCAGGGGTTGTTTGTAACCATATTTTGGCCAAGTACTCCTCAGTTTCACACTTGAATTTGTTTAAAACAGCCAGGGAATTTCTAGATAGTCTAAAGGCTTTTATCTATTTTAGTCTACTTATTTTGTTTGATCAAATTTCTTTCTTAAACGTCTTAAAATGGTAACATCTTGATCAGTTTAGCTGAAACTCTGTTTGGGAAAGTGAGTAATACAATATGGCTGGAACTTAGGGTGGTGGAGCTATGAGATAAAGCTGAAATAGCAGCTTGTTACAGCCAGAGGAAGGGATACAGGAGCTGGGAGGTCACGATCTCCTCATTATGTGATTTTGGGGATAACATCCCATTCTTTTTGTGGCCATATCCTATTAGAAGCAAGTCAATAGGTCTAGCCCACAACAAGGGAGAAGATTACACAAGGCAGTGAATACCAGGAGGTGGTATTAATAATACGGGAGCATTGGCCAGGTATGTTGGTTCACGCCTGTAATCCCAGCACTTTGGGAGGCCGAGGCGGGCAGATCACCTGAGGTCAGGAGTTCGAGACCAGCCTGGCCAACATGGTGAAACCCCATCTCTACTAAAAGTACAAAAATTAGCCAAGCATGGTGGCGCGCACCTGTAATCCCCGCTACTCGGGAGGCTGAGGCAGAACCGCTTGAGCCCAGGAGATGGAGGGTGCAGTGAGCCAAGATTGTGCCACCGTACTCCAGCCTGGCCAACAGAGCGAGACTCTCTCTCAAAAAAACAAAAAAATAAAAATAAAAACAAAGCCAAAAAGGAGCATTTTAGAGGCTGGCTACCACACCTTCCTTGGGTTTTCTAGAGGTGACTCTTTCAAGCTGGTTCCGAAAAGGATCAGGTTAATTTCAATCACAACCAAAAATTATGTTATCTTTATGAAGGTTTCTCGACATGCCACACATCTCCTGACCCCAGCCTGGGGTGTGTTCCAGGCTGCAGTATAATGCCACTCTGGCTCTTCATGAGAGCTCATCCCTTCTCAGGCTTCTTGTATTGAGAACTGATACTTCTTACATGCAATCTTTCTTGTATCCTATATCCAATCTGTCAGGAAATTCTGTTGCTTATACCTTCAAAATATATCCAGACTCCACTTCCCACCAGCTCACTGCTACCACTTTGGTCTGAGCCACAATCATTTCTTGCCTGGCTTATTACAACGGACTCATCACTGTCCTCTCTGATTTGGCCCCGGCTCCGCTTCAGGATCCTTTCAACACAGGAGCTAGAATGATCTTGTTTAAATGATCAAATCGCCTTTCCACTCAAAATCCTCTCATTTTATAAAAGATAAAGACCTAACTATGGTCCACAAGGAGCTGAAAAATCTGCTTGTGCCGCCTCCATTCTTCAACATCATTTCCCACTTTTCTTCCCCTTCCTGTGCCAGAGCACATCAGCCACGCTTCTGCCTCAGGCCCAGGCACTGACTGGCCCTTCTCTCTGCCTAGAACAGTCTTCTCTCAGTAAATGCTCCCTCAGCTCCTTCAAGTTTTTCTTCATATGTCACCTTCAAAATGAGGGCTTCCTTAACCAAGTGGCTTTTAAAAAATTATTTTATTCCCAGGCTGGAGTGCTGTGGTCCCATCTCACTGCAACCTCCGCCTCCCAGCCTCAAGCGATCCTCCCACCTCAGCCTCCAGAGTAGCTGGGACTATAGGCACCATGACCGGCTAAGTTTGGTATTTTTGGAAGAGATGAGGTTTCGCTATGTTGCTCAGGCTGATCTAGAACTTGTGAACTCAAGTAATCCTCCCATCTCGGTCCCCAAAGTGCTGGGATTACAGGCGTGAACCACCACATCCAGCCCCAAGCTGTTTTAAAATTACAGCAATTGCACCCAATACTCCCCTCTTCCCATGCCTTATTTTTATCACCACCTCATGTTCGGTATAATCATCATTCACAGAGTAAGCACTCCATAAATGAGTGCTGTATAATATGTGGGAAGTAAATCCCATTTTTGGGGTTGAAAGGGAGGTTCTGAGAAGTGAAGGGATGGAAAGGGAAGTTTGCTGGCTGACAGCCTTAACTTTGCACTCCATCTTCTCCAGTTCCCCCAGGACAACCCTGAGAATCAGCTATGTGCCGGGCACGCTAGGCCCTGGGGTTACAACTTTGGGGCTTAACTGTTTTTCGTTTCATCTTTTAACTTTAATACCAAATCTTTGTTGTTCACACAGAACAATCTTTACAGAAATGAAAAAGCTTGGTGACCCTCAACCTCCATATCCACCTTTGTGTTTAGCCTGGCTTTCTGCTTCATCTAGGCCCCTTGAGTAACTGGCATTCACACACACACTTGCTTATATGTTTACTATTCATTACACACATTAAAAATTTTTTTTCCCATTGAAATAGTCATAGAGGTCTGTTAAATAGGCCTGTATATTTTCTTGCTTTCCTGGGTTAGACATCTTCAGACAGTTTTTCTTTTGGTAGCAAAAGCAAAATACTTCTTCCCCCTCCTAACTTTGCTGTATTTGTCATATACGGAAAGGAGTCGCGAGACATCATGAACCCCACATACAATGAAGTCCTTCTGGAATATTTTCAAATTATCCCCTTTTTCTGCCATTACTGTGGCCTAAACTACCTTGCTTAAATGGACAATGTCATCATTGAATCAAGAAAATACTGTGATCCACTGGCATCCCTTTTCACCTTAGCCTTCATATCATATTTATATTAAATGTCTGTTATATATATTTAGTATCATCCCACCTAGCTCTTTAATGGTTAGAGTCCAACCTACACACTCTTCCCAGTGGGAATGGCTGCTCTATAAAGTTCTTTGTACGTGTTTTTTTTTTTTCCTAACATTCACTTGGTGCCAATAATTATATTTTGTCCAATCACTTTTTTTTTTTTTTAAAGAGATAGGGTCTCACTCTGTTGCTCAGGCTGGAGCACAGTGATGTGATCATAGCTCACGGTAACCTTGGGATCCTGAGCTCAAGCAGACCCCTCACCTCAGCCTCAGGGGCAGGTGGGACCATAGGTACTTCTGTGCCACCACACTCAGTTATTTTTTAAATTTCTTGTAGAGATAGGGTCTTGCTATGTTGCCCAGGCTGGTCTCGGAGCTTCCCACCTCGACTTCTGAAAGTACTGGGGTTACAGGTGTGAACCACTAAGTCTGGCCTGGAATATCTTGATCCATCCATTCCTTGATTCTAAACGTCTAGCAATTTACATGACATTTCACACCATGTTGCAGAGTTATATACTGCTTTGATTTGCTTTATGGTAGTCTCTAATTTCGTTGATCTTCCTCTTAAAAATGCCTTGTTTTAATATTTAGTATTACAGGACTGATAAGTTCAGTAATTTGATAAGCAACTTAGGGATAAGTAGTTAATTTCTGAGGTTTAAATTGCTGGTTTTAAAAAATTGTAAATTGGTGGCCTAGACAGATGCATTTTATCTTGGAGAATGAATGTATTCGTGACTGGAAGTAATGGCAGCTATAATTCGTTACGTTATTTTACAGTCACATCTCAGCTGCATAACCTATTTACTTTTTGCAGTGTTATCACTGATTCACAAGACAATTTTGCTTTTATCTGGGCACATGATTGCTTGTTTCTCCTTATCTTTTAGCTTCCCTTTATATATACTTTCCAACATTGGAGTGATTCAGAATATATGTGAGGAATGGGATGGTGATTTAGGAAAGGCGGGAAAATTATGGGCTAAATCATCTGATGAAAAATTCTGGCCCAGCGCAGTGGCTCACGCCTGTAATCCCAGCACTTTGGGAGGCCGAGACGGGCGGATCACAAAGTCAGGAGATCGAGACCATCCTGGCTAACACGGTGAAACCCCGTCTCTACTAAAAACACAAAAAATTAGTCGGGTGTGGTGGCAGGCACCTGTGGTCCCCAGCTACTCGGGAGGCTGAGGCAGGAGAATGGTGTGAACCCGGGAGGCGGGGCTTGCAGTGAGCTGAGATGGTGCCACTGCACTCCAGCCTGGGCGACAGTGTGAGACTCCGTTTCTTAAAAAAAAAAAAAAAAAAAAAATTCTGGCTAGTTATTAAATTCATTAAAAATATTTCTTCAGATTTTTACCCCAACAGTTCATAGGTGACCTTTTTTCAGTTTCCAGTATGAACTCTCAATATGGAATCTCAGTTTACATGACAATGGTATTTTACCCCATAGATACATCCTAGTAAAAATAAATTCGGAATACTCTTAACTGCATTGCCACATGAAGCAATAGGAGAGACTGTATCCTAAGCAGAATCCCTCTAATTCCTCTGGGTTGAGGTAGCTTGACCCCCCATAACCAAGATCAATTTTTTTTTTTTTTTTGAGATGGAGTCTCGCTCTGTCGCCCAGGCTGGAGTGCAGTGGCGTGATCTCGGCTCACTGCAAGCTCCGCCTCCCGGGTTCACGCCATTCTCCTGCCTCAGCCTCCCGAGTAGCTGGGACTACAGGCGCCCGCCACCACGCCCGGCTAATTTTTTGTATTTTTAGTAGAGACGGGGTTTCACCGTTATTAGCCAGGATGGTCTCGATCTCCTGACCTTATGATCCGCCCGCCTCGGCCTCCCAAAGTGCTGGGATTACAGGCGTGAGCCACCGCGCCTTGCAAATATCCTCACACTTTGCAGAGGCGGCAAGTGAACAGTGCTCATCTTGATAAAGGATTTTTAACACTGACACGTGCTTAGAACTACGAACAGTGGAAGGGTCTGAAATGGCAGCAATGTCGCCCTTTCACAGGTTTCTAGGGCGATAAGCACTGCAAGCTCGGCCAGCCAAAGTCCAGCGGTGGGGGAAAAAACGGCCAAGGCAGCAGCAGACATAATCAAACAGGGCCCGGGTCGGCGGCGGTGGCTCACGCCTGTAATCCCAGCACTTTGGGAGGCCGAGGCGGGCGGATCACCAGAAGTCGGGAGTTCGAGACCAGCCTGACCAAGACCCGTCTCTACTAAAAATAGAAAATTAGCCGGGCGTGGTGGCGCATGCCTGTAATCCAGCTACTCGGGAGGCTGAGGCATGAGAATCGCTTGAACCCGGAAGGCGGAGGTTGCGGTGAGTCGAGATCGCGCCATTGCACTCCAGCCTGGACAACCAGAGCGAAACTCCGTCTCAGGAGAAAAAAAAAAAAGTAGTAACGGGTCCGGCGGCAGCGCGCGGGCCGGGCGAGCGTCTCCCGGCAAACGCGGCGCCACAGCTGAGCCGACCTCCGGGGCCCGCGCCCTCCCCTCCCCGGGCACCACTAGGAGCGGCCAGCCCGGGCCTCGGCTCCGCGCGCGGGGAAACGAGCGCGGCGGTTAAAACCGTTACCACCCCCGAGTTTTGAACTGGTTCAAACTTGGCTTCCAGCACCCGCCCCGCCCCTCCCCCGCCCGGGAACTCTGCGGCGCCGGTTCCCGCCAAGAGCCGCCGGCGCTTCGTCCCGCCCTTCGGCCGGTTCCCGCCACCTATCCTCCCCGCCTCCCGTCCGCGGCGGGCTCCGGGCCCCCGCGATGTCTCCCGGTCCCCGCGTGCCTGCACACCGCCTTCCTGAGAGGCGCCGTGTGTTCAGCGAAAGAACAAAGAGACGGCGGCGGCGCTTCCACACGGCCAGTGGCGTCCCTTACAGCGAACCCCGCCGCCGCCCGCGCGCGCACGCGCTGCCAGTGCCCGCCCGCCCACGAGCCCTGAGCGCACTCTGCGTGGGGCTGGCTCGGCGCCTCCGAGCCCGGCGGGCCCTGTGATTGGACGGGCGCCCGCCTCGCGTCCCGCCAATCGGGGCGGCGCTTGATTGGGCTGGGGGGGCCAAATAAAAGCGATGGCGATTGGGCTGCCGCGTTTGGCGCTCGGTCCGGTCGCGTCCGACACCCGGTGGGACTCAGAAGGCAGTGGAGCCCCGGCGGCGGCGGCGGCGGCGCGCGGGGGCGACGCGCGGGAACAACGCGAGTCGGCGCGCGGGACGAAGGTAACGCGCCGCTGCGGGCGGCCCGGCCGGCGGGGCTCCGGGAGTGCGAACCGGGCGGCGGCGGCGGCGCCAGGACCTCCCCGCCACTGCTGTGCCGGTCCCGGGTATCGCCGAGCGGGGCTCACCGGGGCGCCGCGTTTGTAGGCGTGCGGGGGGTGGAGGGTGAGGGGAGAGCCCCCCTCCCCGGAAGGAGCTGTGAGCTTCGGGCTGGCCCGCGGGACCCTGCGAGTGAGGCAGCGCACACCCCTGGAGCTGCGGGGCGGGGGGCGTGTGGGGGGCTCCTTTCCCGGTGCTTGTCCTGGCCGGGGCGCCGGGGCCGGGGTCGGGGCGTTCCGGTGCCCGGTCCAGGGTGGCAGCTCGAGCCTCAAGTCTCCTTTGTGTGGCGCGGCCGCGGCGGGAGCGCCCGGGTGGGACGGGACAGACACAAGTTGGTGGGACCCAGCCGCCGAGTCCGCACTCAGACAAAGGACGGACTGTGTCTCCGGAGGGCTCGGCGCGAGGGGAAGGGGCATGACACCCGGGCCCGCCGGCGGGCGGGAGAGGGGCGTGGGGAGGCGCGGGCCGCTGCCGGGGTGGGCAGGGCTCGGCCCTCGCCTCGCGCACGCCCCCGGTCCCGGGCGCGCCGACCCCGGGCTGGGGCCGCGGCGCTCGCGGGACGACGTTCGCGGCGGGGAACTCGGAGTAGCTTCGCCTCTGACGTTTCCCCACGACGCACCCCGAAATCCCCCTGAGCTCCGGCGGTCGCGGGCTGCCCTCGCCGCCTGGTCTGGCTTTATGCTAAGTTTGAGGGAAGAGTCGAGCTGCTCTGCTCTCTATTGATTGTGTTTCTGGAGGGCGTCCTGTTGAATTCCCACTTCATTGTGTACATCCCCTTCCGTTCCCCCCAAAAATCTGTGCCACAGGGTTACTTTTTGAAAGCGGGAGGAATCGAGAAGCACGATCTTTTGGAAAACTTGGTGAACGCCTAGTGAGTTGCCACTTTCTAAAGAATCGTAATCCTTAAACATTACAAGCTGTTTTGGCCAACTTGTGTGATACATCTGAGAATGGCGACAGGTGCTAACGAAATCAACTGTCATTCAGCCAGATTATTCCCCAAATCCCGACGGGTTGAATGAGGATGAGGTGGTAGAAGTAGGTGATCAAAATAGAATGGCTATGACAAATGTGTGTTTAGATTATACGGTTAGCAGTTTCTTATTAATTGGTCTCGTTTTCTGTGAACAATAGCTTTGGTGATTCAGAAAAGACTGCATGGAGAAATGTTTGTTGCCTAAGAAATTTAACGTGTGCTGTCCACAGTTAAACTTCCTTTATCACACAGGATCTGTAACATTTAAATTCATTTGGAAATAAAAATGTGTCTTTGCTATTTACTTAAAGGCTTGCTTTTTAGGGTTCAAGCAAGTTATTATTAGTTTAATTTTGTGGCGTTTTGATGTCATCATAAAACAGCATTTAATAAACCTTTGAAAAACACGAATGCTGTCACAATTGAATGTAGTTTATACTTTTAGGGGTTTTGGAGTTTATTTTCTATTACTCTTCATAAGCATTAGCAACTAATTCATGTTTAGGAATACTGTACAAGTGTGTAATCCTAACTTGTTTATTTGTAATTTTATTTGCAGGAAAACAAGTATTTAAGATATATTTTAATTTTCTATTCATGGTCTCTAAAGTTAGGAATAGGTAGGATTCTAGTCATAGATATAAAGCGTCTTGTTCTCTCTTTTCGGAGGTGTGTTGGGTGATGTAATATTTAAGGTTTCCCGGAAACAGGAACACTGCATCTTAAATTCTCGTTTTTGTGGAAAGTGAATATATTCCAAGAAAACAAGTTAGAAAAACATAGGCGTTCTTCTGGTTGCACTGTCCTATATGATAAAGATCTAATGTGCATCTGCTAACTTAAGGTTTCATAAAAATGGAGACAAATAAATGCAATATAAATTTATTACATATATTTTGGAGAGTGTTGACACCACTGTACGGGCATTCCAGGTGCTGGTCTAAGTGTTGAGACATTATAACAAAAAAGTAACGTTTATATTAGTTACTATTAATTCTGTATTTAAAAAATCCTATTAATAATCTTGTCCATTATGAGATAAGGTAGTTATGCAGATTTTTGGCAGAAATTCGGATATTTTAGGATACATATGTGTGTGTGTGTGTGTGTGTGTGTGTGCGCGCGCGTGTGTGTGTGTGTATATGTTTTTTTTTTTTTGAGACAGAGCCTTGCTCTGTCGTCCAGGCTGGAGTGCAGTGGCTGGATCTGGGCTCACTACAATCTCTGCCTCCCGGGTTTAAGGAATTCCCCTGCCTCAGCCTCCCGAGTAGCTGGAACTACAGGCACGCACCACGACACCCGGCTAATTTTTGTATTTTTAGCAGAGACAGGGTTTCACCATGTTGGCCAGGCTGGTCTCGAACTCCTGACCTGAAGTGATGTACCCGCCTCCGCCTCCCAAAATGCTGATCCAGACGTGAGCCACCACGCCCAGCCTAGGATAAAAATTTCTAACTTTGCCCTTGAGTGTTCTCTGTATTTGATAATTACTATTCTTTGTACTTGCCATGAGATATTTTGAAAAACATCTCTTTGGGGAATTGGTTTAAAAATTCATATTAAATTATTTTCTGGTACAATTGAGAATGTATTTAGTCAGTTTAAGTAGCAGTGACTTAAAACACACTTGTTGATCTAGTGTAGTTAGAAAAAGTTCTGATACTTTGATACCTAGCTTTGCCTTGCACAAATACATTTAAGTGAATATCTTTATGTTGGCCATTTAAAAATTTTAGGCAAATTTCTCCAAGTCATACTGGAATTTTCCCAGGATACCTTCCTTCTTTTGAGGTAGTGTGCTCAAGGATTCTGAATTTATTTCAGTATTACCCTTTACATGAGCAGTGATTGAGAAAGTTGATCTGCTTTTTAAAAACCAACAAGGACAAATCCTCCAATATAATGTATTCTGTGGTTAATTAGCAATGATTTATGGATTAGCCTTGAAGTCTTTATATCAGTATAGATGACAAATTTTCTGTAAATCATGATAGATTCTATATGAGTAGGTGAAATCTTCGGGGGAGAGCATAAGTGAACAGCAGCAATTCATTAAATTCAGAGAAAGGTTCATGGTCAGATGATACATACTTTACCTTCTGGAGGTCTTCCCTGAATTCCCACTCTTGTGTTCCCACAGGGTTTTATCATATTTTATTGTAGCATGACTCAATTGTATTGTAATCACTTGTTTATGCATCCCTCTCTTCCCTACAGTCAAAGTGCCTCCTGGTAGAGGCTCTGTCTTATTTTTTTCTTTGTATACCTAGTACCTACGTTGGTATTTGCTAGAGAATAGGGGTTTTAAATATAGTTGAATGAATTAAGGAAATATGAAAAATGTAGGGAAATAATTTGACAAAGGAACTTGCAAAGTGAACAGGATATGTTAGTATTCATGTGAGGAACTTTGAAATGTGTTTTTCTCCCTCTTTAATAGGGAATGATTACAAAGAAAAATAGTTGTCAAGGTGAACAAGTTCCAAGTTTTTCCTAGTTATAATCTGTAGTACTAAACATTAGATATCCTTTAGATGCAACTATTACACTCGGACAACTGGAGAGAACTTGATGAATCATCTGGATATTTAGTAATAGTATTTGCTTAATTTGATTTAATGTTGATATTGATGATCTCTTTGCAAAAATATAAGGAAGGGAAAGGGCGAGAGAGGGTAGTAGATCTTTTAACTGAAAAGCTGTTTTGTTATAATTCATGAGTTCTTTATTGGAGTAAATTGAGGTAGGTTTTGGAGCTAAAACTGAAGGATGTAGCGACAGTGTAATTGGATCATTTATTGGGATGCTTTTCATCATTCTTTTAAAATGATTTAAATACAGATTAGCAAATTTAGTGATACCTCAAAAGTTACAGCTGGTAAATTTCTAAGATAGTTGCACCATTCCATATCTTGCCACTGTTCCACTACTTGGTATAAAAATATGACAAATTTGTGTTTAGATTATGTGGTTAGCAGTTTCTTAATAATTGGTCTTGTTTTCCATTAACAATAGCAAGACAGAACAAGATCATAGCTCACTGCATCCTTAAACTCCTGGGCTCAAGGGATCCTCCTGTCTCAGCCTCCTGAGTAACTGGTATTACCAGTGCACACCATTGTGGTGACTTATTTAATTTTTTAATTTTTTGTAGAGATGGGATCCTGCTTTGTTGCCCACGTTGATCTCAAACTCCTGGCTCCAGGCAATCCTCCTGCCTTGGCCTCTTAAAGTACAGGGATGACAGGCTGAGCCATTGTGTTTGACCCAGATACTTTTTTTTTTTGAGACGGAGTCTCGAAAGTGATTCTTGTGCCTCAGCCTCCTGAGTAGCTGGGACTACAAGCGTGCGCCACCACGCTCGGCTAATTTATTTATTTATTATTTATTATTTATTTTTTTGAGATGCAGTGTCACTCTGTCACCTAGACTGGAGTGCAGTGGCACCATCTTGGCTCACTGCAACCTCCACCTCCTGGGTTCAAATGATTCTCCTGCCTCACCTCTCAAGTAGTTGGGATTACAGGCATGCACCACCAGGCCTGGCTAATTTTTGTATTTTTAGTAGTGATGGGATTTCACCATGTTGGCCAGGCTGGTCTCGAACTCCCGACCTCAGGTGATCCACCTGCCCTGGCCTCCCAAAGTACTAGGATTACAGGCGTCAGTCACTGTGCCCAGCCTCCGATAATTTTTATATTTTAGTAGAAACTGGGTTTCACTGTGTTGGCCAGGCTGGTCTGGAACTCCTGACCTCAAGTGATTGACCTGCCTCGTCCTCCCAAAGTGGTGGGATTATAGGTGTGAGCCACCACACCCTGCTGTGTTGTTTTTGTTTTTGTTTTTTGTTTTTGTTTTTGTTTTTTGATATGGAGTCTCACACTTGTTGCCCAGGCTGGAGTGCAGTGGCGTGATCTCGGCTCACTGCAACCTCTGCCTCCTGGGTTCAAGCGATTCTCCTACCTCAGCCTCCCGAGTAGCTGGGATTACGGGAACGCACCACCACACCTGGCTAATTTTTGTATTTTTAGTTGAGATGGGGTTTCACCACGTTGGCCAAGCTAGTCTCGAACTGCTGACCTCAGATGATCCGCCTGCCTCGGCCTCCCAAAGTGCTGGGATTACAGGCGTGAGCTACTGCGCACGCCTGGCCTGGATACTTTTTAAACATTTTTAAATTAAAAATTTTTTTTTGGAGACAGGGTCTTGTTGTCACCCAGGCTGGAGTGCAGATGCGTGATCTCAGTTCACTGCAACCTCTGCCTCCTGGGCTCAAGCGATCCTTCCATCTCAGCCTCCCAAGTAGCTGGGACTACAAGTGCATGCCACCACGCCTGGCTAATTTTTGTATTTTTTGTAGAGACAGGGTTTTGCCATGTTGCCCAGGCTGGTCTTGAACTCCTGAACTCAAGAGATCCACCTACCTCAGCCTCCCAAAGTGCTGGGATTATAGGTGTGACCCACTGCACCCAGCTTTTGTTTTTAATATTTGTAAGAACCACCTTGTGTCTGCCAACAGGCGAATTAACAAAATGTGGTATATAAACCAATGAAAACATAAAAGGAGTGAAATAAAGACGTAAAAGGAGTGAAATTTCAAAATAAAAGTAAAAAGATTTCAAAATAATTCAGACATAAAAGGAGTGAAATTCTGATACATGGATGGAGCTGGAGAATATTATGCTTAGTGAAATAAGCCAGATACAACCTTTTGTACAAAAATACAAAATTGTATGATCTCATTTATATGAGGTAGTTAGAAGAGGCAACTCTATGGAGACAGAAAGTAGAATAGAGGTTACCAGGGCTGTGAGGGGAGAGGTGAATGGGGAGTTTAATGAATACAGAGTTTCTGTTTGGAATGGTGAAAAAATTCTGGAGATGGATAATAGTGATGGTTGAACAATATTTTGAATATATTTAATGCCACAGAATTGTACACTTAAAAATGGTTAAAATGGTAAATTTTACACGATATGTATCTGTATCTATATATATCTCTCTCTATATCTATATATCTTACCAGAATACAAAATTTAATAACACACTCCGAAAACCTTTACAGATGAGGAAACTGAAGAAAACTGTCTACAGGGGAGGAGTTAAGAATTTGCCCAGGATTATTCAGCTGGGAATTTGCATTCGGGATCCAAACTTAGTTCTGTTTCACTACATATTATCTACTCCATATTATCTGTTCTGTGTTATCTGCTGGCTTTCTGGGTGATTAAAGATATGTCAGCTCCGAGAAGAATGAGTTTATTTGAATCATTCAGAAAGTTACATTTAAAAGTAGGTAATTGTAGTTTGATGGAAGGTACAGTGTGAAACCCTAGACAGACTAAAGGTTAACTTTGAGGATTTCTTTCTCAGCCAGAGTGGTAATAGTATGCATTTGAGAGGGGAGGAGAGTAGAGTTCTAAGGATGTGGTCTTTGGAGACAGTTTCTTGGGTTCCAGTCCCTGAGCTACCAATTTGTGTCTGGGGTGTTATCCTCTTGATGTCTTAGCATCCCTATCTGTAAATTGGTGAGGATAATGATAACATCTGATAAGGTGGTTGTGAGGATTAAAGGAATTGATACATGTGAAATCCTTAGAACTGTACCTGGCAAAAAGTGTTTGATAAATGATTTTCAGTTATTGTGCCAATATTATTTTAGAGTTGATGTACTTTCTCATTAATGGAACCAAACACTTCTCAAGTTAAAATTACGTGCTTAGGACTGGTAAGTTACAAAAATGGTACCACACGTTTTATCTATTTCAATTTAGAAATGTCTGTTGATTAAATGTGTTCGCTTTAAACTACTGAAACAATGTAGACATTTATAAAATGAAAGCGTATTGATCCCTGTTATCTCATTCGCTACCTTTAACGGTTTGGTGTATATTCTTCCCCAAATTTTCAAATATATTCATATATGAATATGTATTTTTACATACATTTTATAAAAATGGGACCAAGTTATTTGGTTCTAACATGGCTTTTTTTTAAGGTCAATACAAAGATCTGTTTTATTAAAAAATAATTGATATTCCTTTAGGGCTCACTATATGCTTGGTACTCTTCTAAGTCATTATTTTATATAGATACTATAATATCGAGAGATGGAGAGATTAAGTAACAACTAGTTAGTGGTAGAGGAAGGATTTTAATTTGGGTACGTTAGCTTCAAAGTCCTGATCTCCCAGCCAGGGATCATTTTTGGTAAGGCCTGTGAGCTGGAAACGTTAACACTTTTAAAAGAGTTGTAAAACAATACCACCCCACTTCCCTGAAGAACATATAAGGGAGACTAGATACCGCCTGCCAAGCCTAAAATACTTACCATGTGGCCCTTTACAGAGAAAGTTTGCTGCCCCTTGCTCTAAGCCATCCAGCTGTACCTCTTTGGTGTAAGGGGGGTGCATAGTATTCCAGTTTATGAATGTGCATTACGCAGCAAACCAATCTGTTGTGATTGACATTGTTTTCTCTCCTGAAAAGAAGTGAACATCCTTATGTATCTTTGAACATTTGTGTGACAATTTTCTATAGAGTTGGCTCTTTCAAGATTATGAACATTTCTAGTTTTAATAGGTGTTGTCAAGTTATATTAATTTTTAGTTAAAACAACAACTGTATTGAAGTATAATTTACATACAATAAAAAGCACACATTTGAAGGGTATGATTTGAGGAGTTTTGACAAATGTATGCACCTGCACCGCTGCCTGGATCAAGATCTATAATGGTTGCCATCATCTCAGAGTCCTTTCATCCTCTTTTACAGTCATTCTCTCAACTTTTTTTTTTTTCCCTCCAAGATGGAGTCTTGCTCTGTCACCCAGGCTGGAGTGCAATGGCATGATCTCGGCTCACTGCAACCTCCGCCTCCTGGGTTCAAGCAATTCTCCTGCCTCAGTCTCCCGAGTAGCTGGGATTACAGGCGTCTGCCACCACACCCAGCTAATTTTTGTAGTTTTAGGCGAGATCTCAGCTCACTGCAACCTTGACCTCCTGGGCTCAATCGAACCTCTCACCTCAGCCTCCCAAGTAGCTAGGACCACAGGCATGTACCACCATGCCCAGCTAACATTTATTATTAATATTTTTTTGTAGAGATGGGGTTTTCCTGTGTCGCCCAGGATGGTTTCCAACTCCTGGGCTCAAATGATTCTGCCTTGGCCTCCCAAAGTGTTGGGATTACAGGCATGAGCCGCGGCACCTGACTTGTAGTAAACTCTCTGAATTAATATTCCATTGTAGGCATGTGCTACAGTTTTTAAATTCATTTACCCATGGATGGACACATAGGACTGTTGTCAGCTGTTGATAAAGCTGCTATCACCATTTGTATGTCTTTCCTGGACATGTTTTAGTGGTAAATATTGATTTTACTTTGTAAGAAACCGTTAAACTCTTTTCCAAAATAGTTGTACCATTTTAAATTGAAAGTTACAGTTGTAACTGTGCAGGAGTTACAGTTTCTTCACATTTTCATTGACACTTCGTGTTGCCAGTCTTTTAAATTTTGGCCATCAAATGAGTATTAAGTATCTCATTGTGGGTTTGTGTTTCTCAGATGATCAATGATGTTGGAACATCTTTTCATATGCTTATTGGCCATTTGTGTACTTTTTTTGGTTCAAGCCTTTTGTCCCTTTAAAAAATTGGATTGTTTGTCTGGTTGAGTGGCAAGAGGTCTTTATATGTTCTGGGTACATAGTCACATTATCTGTCAGATTGTGTTGCAAATATTTTATTGTTCATTTTTGTTTGATTTTGTGTATTTTTAATACTATAAAGATCAAGTTAAAACTTTAATATGGGAAGCATAATCAGATAAATTATGTGAAACAAATTGTCCTTAATTCACGAGTCATTTAATTAGTGTAACAAAATGTTATGCATTTGCAGAAACTTGTAAACTAAAAGGATATTATTCATATGCTGTTAGGTGTATGGATGATAATTTTTTTTAATTAAACTAGTTTTGAAAATTATTGTATTTAGTAATTCTCTTCATTTTGCATAATTCAAACCTTTTCATTTATTAGTGAGTTAAGCCTTAAATTTTTTCTTCAAAGGATAAATGAGAATATTAAAAGTAAAAAGTGACCTTGATCTTAGAATGGGGTATGTAGAAATGATGATTGCCAAACTTAGTTTCCCTACTTTGACAATCAAGTAAAATTTTTTTTTTTTTTTTTTGAGACGGAGTCTTGCTCTGTCCCCCAGGCTGGAGTGCGGTGGCGCGATCTCGGCTCACTGCAAGCTCTGCCTCCTGGGTTCACGCTGTTCTCCTGCCTAAGCCTCCCGTAAATTTTTTTATTATAGAAATGGATGGCTTTTCAGATTATATATACTTGGTTTCTATACACTATTTTATTTTTGTAAAGTAGCAGTTCTTTTGCTCAACACCTGAATTGCCCCCACAATAAATTTTTAGTTTTTCTTCAATATTCAAGTAATACATAACTTTTCCTTTTCCTGTTTAACAAAGAAAAAAATATATAAAGCAAGCTGTTGGACCTCCATTGGGTGTTGTTTACCACCACTGTAGGTGATCGTGGCATTGTCCACCTCAGTCTTCTCATGGCTGTGGATTCAAGTTAAGAAATTCCTGAAGGTAGCATTCCAGGTAGTCTGTAGAACAGCCCAAACTCTCTGAATTAGTATTATCTCTGATAGGTGTTTTTTTTTTCTTTGCTTTTTTATTTGAGACGGGGTTTTGCTCTGTCACCCAGCCTGGATTTCAGTGGCACAATCTTGGCTTACTGCAACCTCCACCTCCTGGGCTGAAACAATCCTCCCACATCAGTCTCCTGAGTAGCTGGGACCACAGGCACATGCCACCATGCCCAGCTAATTTTTTATATTTTTGTTAGAGACAGAGTTTCACTATGTTGCCCAGGTTGGTCTCAAGATTCCTGAGCTCAAGCGATGTTCCCATCTTGGCCTCCCAAAGTGCTGGGATTACAGGCATGAGCCGCTGTGCCTGGCCCTGGTAGTTTTCTTCTTATATCTTTCTCCTGTTGATCTCACTTGATTTTCTTACTAGTCTACAGGAAATTTCACGTGGAGATTCTGTGCCTGTCCTCTTTCTGGAATATCTTCCTTATTTTAGCATCTCAACATGCTGTTCAGCTTCTGGCTTGAAACCACCCCTCTCCCATCCCAACCAAGTTAAGCAGCTTCTTTCCTGCTTAGAAGTACCATAACATGTGTATTAATCTTTTTTTTTTTCTCTCTCCTTCCCTTCATTTTAAGCTCCTTTTTATTAATCTGTAGGGCAGAGCTTAGAAAAAGGTTTTTGTATATTGTAAGTACTAATAAAATATTTGTGAAGTTGATTTGGGACTTGGGAGACCTCTCTTCTGTAAGCAACTCAATAAATAATTATTTAAGTACCATCCTCACCCAGTGTACTGTTAGCTGCTGTTATGATATTGATTACTGTAAAATTTTAAAGTATATCCTTGGTAGACTGTTGATCAAAGTCAGAAAGCTTGAGAAACTCTGAGGCAAAAAAAAAAAAAAAAAAAAAAAATGAAGAGCATGAAATGATTCTGCAAACTGATCTTACAATGATCTTTCTTTTTTTTTTTTTTTTTTTGAGACAGAGTCTCACTCTGTCACCCAGGCTGGCGTGCAGTGGCAGGATCTTGGCTCACTGCAGTCTCTGCCTCCCAGGTTCCAGTGATTCTCCTGCTTCAGCCTCCCAGGTAGCTGGGATTACAGGCACACGCCACTACGCCCGGCTAGTTTTTGTATTTTTAGTAGAGATGGGGTTTCACTATGTTGGCCAGACTGGTCTTGAACTCCTGACCTCAGGTGATCTGCCTGCCTTGGCCTTGCAAAGTGCTAGGATTACAGGCATGAGCCACCATGCCCGGCCTCTTTTTTTCTTTTTTCTTTTCTTTTTTGTACACAGTTTCACTCTGTTGCCCAGGCTGGAGTATAGTGGCGTGATCATAGCTCACTACATCCTCAGACTCCTGGGTTCAGGGGATCTTCCCATCTCAGCCTCCCAAGTAGCTAGGACTATAGACGTGAGACACGATGTCTGGCTAATTTTTTACATTTTTTATTTTTTGTAGAGTTGGGGTCTTATATGTTGCCCAGGGTGGCCTGCCACCTTGTCCTCCCAAAGCTGGGATTATAGGCTTGAATCAGATCCCAGTGATCTTTATCCCTCAGCTGCATTTATATGGGCTAAATTCATACATAGTATATCAAGATGTCTTCAGGAAGTTTAAAAAAAAAAAGGTATCAAAAAGACAGTATGTCATGACTGCTTTATCTATTTTAGTCTCTTAGTTTTTGATACTAAAGACTAGACCGGAGAAATGCTTTAACAAATCACAAAAATCTAAGAAAATAGACAGTTAATTATTTTTAAACAGTGGAAGAATTTCAATCATAATTAAAGCAGCTTTTGTATTTTTTGATGTCATAGCCTATAGTGAAATTTCATATATTCTGTTTGTAGATACATGAGTTCCTACGATATGCTTGCACATAATAGAACTAATTACTATTTGTTGAGAACCTAACCTGTACCTAATATACATGTAGTTTCTAAATCAAACATTTTACTTTTTTTAAAAATTGTAAAAAGCCCATAGTAAATTAATCATGTTTACCATTTAAAAATGTACAGTTCAGTAGTGTTAAATACATTCACATTGTTGCACAACAGATCTCTAGAACTTTTTTGTCTTGCAGAACTGAAATTCTGTACCCATTGAGCACTAATTCCCACTTCCCCCTCCCCCCAAATTCTTGGCAGCCACCTTTCTACTTTCTGTTTCCATGATTTTTGACTGTTTTAGATACTTACATGCATGGGATTAAACAGTATTTGCCCCTTTGTGATTAGCTTATTTTGCTTAGCATAATGTCATTGAGGTTCTTCCATGTTGTAGCATGTGACAGAATTTTTTTCTTTTCTGTAAAGGCTGTATACTATTTCGTTGTATGTATAGACTGCATTTTAAAATCCATTTATCTATTGGTGGACATTTGGGTTGCTTGGTGATTTGGTGATTCACTATTCATGGTTAGCCAGGAGTAATATGCAGTAAATGTTGGTATACAAATATCTCTTTGAGATCCTGCTTTGAATTCTTTTGGATATATGGTTGCCCATTGAACAACACAGCTTTGAACTATGTGGATCCATCTATAAGTGGATTTTTTTCAACCAGCCATAGATAGAAAATATACTATTCGGCTGGGCGTGGTGGCTGATGCCTGTAATCCCAGCACTTGGGAGGCTGGGGTGGGAGGATCAGTTGAGGCCAGGAGTTCGAGACCAGCCTGGACAACATAGTGAGACCTCATCTCTACAAAAAATAAAAAAGTTAGCTAGGTGTGGTGGCATGCGCCTGTAGTTTCAGCTACTTAGGAGGCTGAGACAGGAGGATTGCTTGAGCCTGGGAGGTCGAGGCTGCAGTGAGCTGTTATTCATGCCATTGCACTCCAGCCAGGGCAACAGAACAAGACCCTGCTCAAAAAAAAAAAAAAAGAAAATACACTATTTGTGGGATGTGAAACTTGTGTATAGGGTGGGTGGGCTTTTTGTATATGCAGGTTCCATAGGTCAGATTTGGGGGTTTGAGTATGAGTGAATTTGGATGTATACAGGTGGTCCTGGAACCAGTCTTATTCTTCCTCTTCTTTTTTTTTTTTTTTTTTTTTTAATTATTCGTCTTTTATTTTTTGGAACCACTCTTCTGCATATGCTGTGGGATGACTGTATATCCAGAATTGTGATTGCTGGATCATATGGTAGTTCTATTTTAATGTTTTGAGTAACCTCAGTACTGTTTTCCATAATGGCTGCACGATTTTTACAGTCCTACCCACAGTGCACAAAGGTTTCGATGTCTCTGCATCCTTGCCAACACTTGTTATTTTCTGTTTCTTTTGGTAGTGGCCAACATAATGGGTGTGAGGTGCTATCTCATTGTGGTTTTGATTTGCATTAACAATGTTGAGTATCCTTCATGTTTATTCACCCCAAATATTTTACTTTTGAATTTATTGAAAATCATGCATTTTAATTATGTAAAACTCAATACCATGCATCATTTGTTAAATGGGAAAAGGAGAATTTGTCCTTATGACTATTATAAAATATTCTAATAAGGTGAACCTTTTTTTTTTTTTTCTTTGAGACAAGGTCTCGCTGTGTCATCCAGGCTGGAATGCAGTGGCGCAGTCTTGGCTTACTGCAGCCTCTGCCTCCTGGGTTCAAGTGATTCTCCTGCCTCAGCCTCCTGAGTAGTTGGTATTACAGGTATGCACCACCACACCTGGCTAATTTTTGCATTTTTATAGAGTCGGGGTTTCACCATGTTGGCCTGGCTGGTAATAAGATGAACTTTATACTTTTTTTTTTTTTTTTGAGACAGAGTCCCACTCTGTCACCTAGGTGCAGTGGCACGATGATGGCTCACTGCAGCCTTGACCTCCTGGGCTCAAGTGATCCTCCACCTCAGCCTCTCAGGTATCTGGGATTACAGGTATGCACCACCACCCCTAGCTAATTTTTGTATTTTTTTGTAGAGATGGGGTTTCGCCATGTTGCCCCGGCTGGTCTAGAACTCCTAGGATCAAGTGATCTCCCACCTTGGAGTCCCCAGGTGCTGGGATTACAGGCATGAGCCACTGCATTGGGCCAGAACTTTATACTTATTAAACAGTATGCTGATGATAGGAAAAAACTGTGCAATCCTTATTCATAAAATTCTGATCTAAAACGTGTTATATTAAAATTAATTAATAATGCAAGCAAAATTGGCAAATTTATTTGTAAACCCCATTTTGGGCTACTTCGAAAATTATTTATGGATCAGAAAAGGTTGGGAAATACTTTTCTAGAGTAATTGAGCAGGCCCTGTAGATGGCAGAAGTGTTGCTTGAACTGGCGTAGAGGAAGAAAGTGTTGAATTGCCCCACTTAATTCCTTAAGTAATTTTGCCTCTTTGGAGAATATTTGCCTGAAATAGAGAACTCAAGTTATGCTATGAAGATTCTTTTTGAAAAATAGAGACAGGGTCTCACATTGCCCAGGCTGGTCTCAAACTCGTGGGCTCAAGTGACCCTTTCACCTTGGCCTCCCAGAGTGCAGGGATTACAGGCATGAGCCATCATGCCAGACCAAGAAGATATTTTGGAGGGCTACATCCCACCAGTAGCTTGATGTTGTACAAAGAGTGGTAGGCTCTGGGCGAGGCTCTGCCATTATACTAGTTGTATTTCCTTGGCACGTAGCTTTTGTGGATCTCTCCTCTTCATGGTGACATGAATGAGATGAATAAATAATGGAACAACTTGTGTTTACTGAGTATCTACCATGTATGTGCCTGCAGAGAGGATGTCTTCATTTTGCAGATGAAGTAATTAGTAAATAACTTGCCTAGGTTCCCTCAGGTAGTGGGCCCTTGAAGAATGGGCTTTTATGGCCAAGTGCATTGGCTCACGCCAGTAATCCCAGCACTTTGAGCGGCTGAGGTGGGAGGATTGCTTGAGCCCAGGAGTTCAAGACCAGCCTGGACAACAAAGTGAGGCCCCATTTCTACAAAAAATTAGCCACATGTGGTGGCATTTGCCTGTAGTCCCAGCTGCATGGGAGAGTGAGGTGAGAGGGTCGCTTGAGCCCAGAAGGTAGAGACTGCAGTGAGCCGTGTTTGCACCCCTGCACTCCAGCCTGTGTGACAGAGTGAGACTGTGTCTCCAAAAAAAAAAAAAAAAAAAAAAAAGGCTATTGCTGCCTATAGGGTCCTTTTTAGTGCAAATACTAGGATTCTAAGCACTTGGTTTCTGTTACCCAGGTCAAACTATTTCTTTGGAGAGTTTGATTACCATCACAGGTGATGGTAAGATTCTCCCTAGCTGGCATTTAATCCAGTGGTTATATGCATCTTTCCCAAATTCTTTATCAAGTTGGTCAATTCATAGAACATCTAATGCTGATTATAAGCCTATTATCTTGCTTGTGTCTCTGCACTATGGGCATAATAGCACCTAAAAGCTTTTGCTATAATGGACTATGATGTATCTGAATAAATTACCTTTATAAACAATCAAATCTAAATTGGCAAGTTCAAATTTACCCAATTTTTCTTATAGAATTTACCTTTGCAGTTAAAGAAATAATTGTTTTTTACCATTTGTCTAGTATGACTTGTTATTTACAAATAGCATGTAACTGGCCAGCTGTACTATACACATTTTCTAGAAAAGAAAATTTCTTCAAATTTCTTATTGGGTGCCTTAGTCTTTTACCCATTAGGGCTATTCAAATAAAGAATGAGATATTCTCTTATTCTCTAGAAAGAGACATTCTATACTAATGGAAATACCAACTTTTAAATCTAGACTACCAAAAAAAAAGTCATGTTTTTCTACCCTAGAGGCTATAGATTCTTAATGTCAGCCACTCATCCTGGCCCTCTCATTTTCTTCTTTTCCCATATGGAAGTTCTAGGGTGATATAGTTTGGCTCTGTGGCCCCACCCAAATCACGCGTCAAATTGTAATCCCCAAAGTTGGAGGAGGGGTCTGGTGGGAAGTGATTGAATCATGGGGGCAGACTTTTCCCTTGCTGTTCTCCTGACAGTGAGTTCTCGTGACAGTGAGTTCTCGTGAGATCTGGTTGTTTAAAATTATGTAGCACCTGCCACTTTGCTCTCTCTTCCCCCTGCATCAGCCACGTATAATGTGCTGGCTTCCCCTTTGCTTTCCACTGTGATGATAAGTTTCCTGAGGCTTCCCCAGCCATGCTTCCTGTATAGCCTGCTGAACTGTAAGCAAATTAAACCTCTTTTCTTTATAAATTACCCACCCTCAGCTCTTTATAGCAATGTGAGAATGGACTAATACAGAAAATATGTACCACAGAAGTGGGGCATCACAATAAAGATACCTGAAAATGTGGATGCAGCTTTTGGACTGAGTAATGGGCACAGGTTGGTACAGTTTGGAGGGCTCAGAACAAGACAGGAAGATAAGGGAATGTTTGGAACTTCCTAGAGACTTGTTGAATGGTTTTGACCAAAATGCTGATAGTGATATGGACAGAGATGGCTAGGCTGATGAAGTCTCAGATGAAGATGAGGAACTTATTGGGGAACTGGAGTAAAAGTCACTCTTGCTATGTGTTAGCAAAGAGACTGGCAGCATTGTGCTCCTGCTCTAGGGATCTGTTGAACTTTAAACTTGAGATGTTTAGGGTATCTGGCGGAAGAAATTTCTAAAAGCAGCAACGTGTTCAAGAAGTGGCCTGGCTGCTTCTAAAAGCCTGTGCTCATTTGCATAAGCAAATAAATGACCTGAAACTGGAACTTAAATTTAAAAGGGAAGCAGAACATAAAAGTTTAGAAAATTTGCAGCCTGCCATGTGGTAGAAAAGAAAATCTCACTTTCTGGGGAGAAATTCAAGCTGGCTGCAGAAATTTACATAAGAGGACGATACATGGGGTAAAATGCTTTTTCCTCCCCTAAAAGCCTTGGTATTAATCTGGAAATAGCAGGAAGGTAACTGTAGGAATTATATAATGGGTTTCCCTGTGCTTGGTCATGTCTTTGTATCATTTCCATAGGTCAGTGGAGACTCAGAAAACCAGTTTCTCTGGGCTTTTGATAAGTAATGTTATAGTAATCAACAGATGGTAACTTTCGGTAAAACAAATTGTCTTCATCTGTTTTGTGCTGGTATAACGGAATATCTGAGACTGGGTAATTTTTAAAATTATTTATTTATTTATTTTTGAGATGGGAGTTTTGCTCTTTTTGCCCAGGCTGGACTACAATGGTGCGATCTCGGCCCACTGCAACCTCCGCCTCCTGGGTTCAAGTGATTCTCCTGCCTCAGCCTCCCGAGTAGCTGGGATTACAGTTGCCTACCACCATGCCTAGCTAATTTTGTATTTTTAGTAGAGACAGGGTTTCACCATGTTGGCCAGGCTGGTGTTGAACTCCTGCCCTCAGGTTATCTGCCTGCCTCGGCTTCCCAAAGTGCTGGGATTACAGGCGTGAGCCACCACGCCTGGCCAAGACTGGGTAATTTATAAAGAATAGAAGTTGGCCAGGCACAGTGGCTCACGTCTGTAATCCCAGCACTTTGGGAGGCTGAGGCGGGTGGATCACTTGAGGTTAGGAGTTCGAGACCAGCCTGGCCAACATGGTGAAACCCCATCTCTACCAAAAAATAAAAATTAGCCGGGTGCGTTGATGTGCACCTGTAGTCTCAGCTACTTGGAAGGCTGAGGTGGGAGAATCACTTGAACCCAGGAGGTGGAGGTTGCAGTGAGACAGAATTACGCCACTGCCCTCTAGCCCAGGCAACAGAGTGAGACCCTGTCTCACAAAAGGAATAAATATATATATATATGCATATATGTATATATATATGCATATACGTACATATATATGCATATACGTATATACGTATATGTATATGTATATATACATATATGCATATATATTATATATAATATATAGTGTATACAATATATGTATATACGTATATATATGTATATATGTATATATATGTATATACGTATATATATGTATATACACATATATATGTATATACGTATATATATTTTTCACAGTTTTGGGGGCTGGGAAGTTTAAGATCAAGGTACCTGCATCTCATGAAGGCTTTCTTACTGTGTCCTCTTATAGCAGAAGATAGAAGGGGCAAGCTGGGAATAACTCCCTCAGTCAGACTCTTGTATAAGGGCATTCACAAGGCAGGAACCGTCGTGGTCTAATCACCTCTGAAAGGCCCCATCTCTTAATACTGTTACATGGACAACACCTGAGTTTTTGAGGGACACCTTCAGACCATAGCACAGATACTGACAAGTCTCATCAATTATTAAGTAAATAGTACTTGAAGGGTTTGAAATTTTGTAGTACCCCGGCAGTGTGTTTATATTTGTGATAAATTTTAAGTATAGGAAAATCATGGAAAGACTTACTGCTCATAACTGCCGTACCTCGTTTACCTCTATCTTTCCCTAAACTACTACTGTTCTTAGCAAGATCATGAACTGTGGGGCCGACATAAGCCAGAGGAGTTTCTGAAGAGTCTGCTTCAGTGAGGGGTTCTGTTGATAGCCATAGAATAAAGAAATGGCACTTTGCAGACATTGGTACTTCCTTGAAAGAACTGGCTGTGGCATATACAGAACTCAAAAATTGAAATTACTAGATAATGGTTACTTGGTTTAGATTGCCTGGAAATTATGAGAGGTTCTGTAAATGCTTTGGGATTAGTAGTTTGAACCACCTAGTCCATTTTATGATTCTGTCTTCAGAATATAGAAGGAATTGCATCTTATTTGGGGATTAGGATATAAAGTTAGTGTACAAGGCAAAATAGCATGTAGGCAAAGTTACCCATGCAGAGTTTGTGGGAAGATGCCTTACCACAAACCAGTACCTTCTTTTTAGGTTCAAGACCAGCCCATTTTTCCTCTAGAATGAGAACAGATCATTGCTCTTCTGTTGAGCACAGAGTTGTTGGTTTGTACTTAAGGGCAATCCTGTTAGAATCACTCCTGAGTGGCTAAATATCTTCAGTCTGAGAGACTTGTCCAGCAGGTTATGGGAACAGCAGATTCATGTCACCTGTCTCTTGCTCACTTAGGCAAACGCTTAGTGTCTGGAATGGTGGGTAGAACCCTTGTATTTACTACCAAAATTGAGCTTTCTCTGACATTTTTGCTCAATGTATGTTAGATTTGTGTAAGTTAAATTAGATGTTGGCTTATGCGTGGTATAAGATTTAAAATAGACTTCTTAGCAAAAAGAACACCTGGTATCAGATTGACTTACCCCTTCATTTTGTTTGCTTTTATTCAGTGAAGTGTTGAAATAACAGGTATCTCATGTCTCATCTTTGAATTATAATGAATTTTGTATCATAGCTTTAGTTTCTGGTACTTTTTTTTTTTTTTTTTTGAGACAAGTCTCGCTCTGTCACCCAGGCTGAAGAGCAGTGGCGCGATCTCAGCTTAACGCATCCTCTGCCTCCTAGGTTCAAGCGATTCTCCTGCCTCAGACTCCCAAATAGCTGAGATCACAGGCACCTGCCACCATACCCGGCTAATTTTTGTATTTTTAGTAGAGATGGGGTTTTACCGTGTTGGCCAGGCTGATCTCCAACTCCTGACCTCAGGTGATTCGCCCGCCTTGGCCTCCCAAAGTGCTAGGATTACAGGCGTGAGCCACTTGGCCCCAGCCTCTGATACCTATTTTTTTCCGTTTTTCCTCCAACAGTGTTTCTGTAAACTGAGTATATACTCGATGAAATGAGAAGATTTAACTTATAAAATCGATTTAGTATAGTTTTCAAGAAAAACTTAAACTTTTTTTTTCTTTTTTTCCTTTTTTTTTTTTTTTTGAGACAGTCTCACTGTGATTGCCCAGGCTGGAGTGCAGTGGCACAATCTTGGCTCACTGCAGCCTTGGCCTCCTGGGCTCAGGTGATTGGTTCTCCCACCTCAGCCTCCAGAGTATCTTGGACTATAGGCACATGCCATCACGCCTGGCTAATTTGTATTTTTAGTAGAGACAGGGTTTCACCATATTGTCCAGGCTGGTCTCAAACTCCTGGACTCAGGCAATCTGCCTGCCTTAGCCTCCCAAAGTGCTGGGATTACAGGTGTGAGCCATGGCCCCCAGCTGAAAACTTTAACCTTTAGATGTCAATTCAGTTAGTGAGTCTGTTTTATCTGTTGTTCAAGCAAATTCTTTAAAACACTTAAAATAGTTCAGTTCTTCAGTTGGTTGAAATTTATATGGCCATTTCTTTTCTAAGCAGTACTCTCAGATAAACACCAGAATGCTGGTCTATGGACTTCAGTTTGAAATCAATAGTTTACTGTCTTGCTGGAAGGAGGAAAGTGATCTTACTGTTGTGGAAAATATATCACTGCAGAATCTACTCACTTTTGCTGCAACGGTCAAGTTAATGTTTTCTATCATTCAGCTAAGATTGCTAAATTAGTATAACTTTCCTTTGCCTTTGAACTTTTTAGCACTACAGAAACCAGGACTACAAATATGTTCTTTACTTTTTTCTGTTATTTTCCCCTATCATGAGACTTCTTGAAGGCGAATGCTGTTCATTATGCTTTCTCATCTGTACTTTCATGTACATGTAATCCACTGTAGTGAAGGCACTAAAACCTGTTGTATTTTCCACATTTCGATAGATCTCTCACAGGATTTAACACTTTTGGAATGCTCAGTAAATTATTATTGACTGCTTGATAATACCTCTTTGTTCCTGCCTTTCCCCAAGTCCTTCAACAGAAGTTTCTTCTAGCACTTTGCAGGTCAGTTGAGTGGACTATTTGAGTCCCTCACAGTAATGAGCTTGTGTGTTTTTGTCATTCTTTTTTCTTTTTTTGAAAAAACAATAGAGTCATTTAAGGAAGCAAAAAGGTCCCTGGGTCAAGATTTTTATTTTATCTTTTATGGTGGTAGGGTGAGGTGTGAGTATTTAGGGAGATGGTTGGTAGGATGGCGTTGTCTTAGGGTTGCAGGAGGATCAGAAGGGTGACTGTAACTACTGATGATATCTTACAGTGGTGAAGGAGAAGATAAGTGAAAACAGAGGCAATTTGTTTAAACGAATTTTAGTAGATATTAGTCTCTTAATTTGGCACTGACATATGACAGATTATTTCATTTAAATTCTGTAGTTTGACAGGTATAATAAAGTACCCTTCATTAAATATTCTTCACATATACTCTTGTTTGCCTTTTTCTAGTTGCAAGAGTGGTGATTTCTATGTTTCATTATAAATTTTAGAAATATATAATTTGAATATATTGTCTGTTCTAGGTTCTCTGTGAGTCAAGAAAAGGCAGGGTATTATGACTTCGGATTCGTATGATGTCTGGATATATTTAAGGGGAGCAGTTCTCAAAGTGTGGCCTGGGATTATGGGATCAAAACTATTTTTTCTTTCTTTCTTTCTTTTTTTTTTTTTTTTGAGACAGGGTCTCACTCTGTCATCCAGGCTGGAGTGCAGTGGCGACATCTTGGCCCACTGCAACCTCTGCCTCCCAGGTTCAAGTGATTCTTGTGTCTCAACCTCCCAGAAACTATTTTCATAATAATACTGAGTTGTTCCTTGCTTTTTTTTAAAAAAACAAAACAAAACAAAAACAAACAAAAAAACCATGTTGGACATTTGTACCCACGGTGCAAAAGCAATGAATAAACACTGTTGGCACCTTAGCACTTGCAGTTAAAAAAGCCAGTTTTGTTTGAGAATGTCCTTGATGAAGTACTAAAAATGATTAATTTTATTAAATCTTGATCCTTGCGTGCATGCAGTTGTAACATTCTGTGCAACAAGATGGGAATGTGTGTAAAGTGCTTCTGCTGCATATTGAGGTATGTTGGGTTTTGAGCAAAAGCACTTACGTGATTAAGTTGTGAGCTCCACTAGCCACTTTTTTCATGGAAATTTCATTTTTACTTAAAAGAGGGTCTGACAAACCATGATTATTCAGACTTAGGTATTTGGCAGACTTTTTTTAAATCAATGAAGTGAGACTGTCACTTCAAGGAAAACAACTGACCATATTTGTTGGCAGAGAGAACATTTGGGCTTTCAAGCAAAAATTAAAATTTTTGGAAAACTTTTGTCTGTTACTGTGAGCATGACAGCTTCCCAGTACTTAAAGACTTTCTGATGAGATTAATGGGTTTAACAACATGATTTTTTGAAATATGCCAACTTCTGGAAAATCTGCGTAACTCAGTGGACCAGTACTTTTTAGATGAGGAATGATGATTTATAACATTGTGCCTGAGTTAAAGATTCATTTAAAGTGAATAGACTAATGAATGTTAATGTGGCAGAGTAGGAAAAGTTCACTGATACAATTTCGGATTCCATGTTGCATCTAATCTTGTAAGAAAGAAATTACCACTGCTAACTGAAGTATGGTGGTTATTTTGAGGAAAAGCACCTGTGAGATTGAGTTGTGAACTGAACTAGCCACTTTTTAATAGAACTGTTTTGGTGTAATATCAAAGCACGAGATCCACAATGACCTCAGAAGGCTATTCAAACACTCTCCCTTTTCTAAGCTAAGTATGTTTGAGACTGGATTTTCTTCATATACTTGAACCAAAACAACATATTGGAACAGATTGAATGCAGAAACAGTTACGAGAATCCGTTTCCTATTAGACAGATATTAAAGAAATTGGCAAAAATGTAAAGCACCACTTACTAATTAATTTTTTTTTTTTTTTTTTAAATAAAAGAAGGCTATGTTGCTCAGGCTGGTCTGAAACTCCTGGGCTCAAGTGGTCCTCCTGCCTCAGCCCCGCAAAGTGCTAGGATTATAGGCATGAGCAACCACGCTTGCCCTCACTCACTAATTTTTTTTAAAGGAAAATAAGTTTCTTTTTAAAAATGTGTTATTTATATTAGGTACAGTTGGCCCTCCATATTTTCAGGTTCAGCTTCTGTGCATTCAACAACTGCAGATCAAAAATACTTGTGGAAAAAAGCCAATAAAATAATAGAACAGGGCGGGCGCTGTGGCTCATGCCTGTAATCCCAGCACTTTGGGAGGCCAATCCGGGTGGATCACCTGAGGTCAGGAGTTCGAGACCAGCCTGGCCAACATGGTGAAACCCTGTCTCTACTAAAAATACAAAAATTAGCTGGGCATGGTAGTGTGTGCCTGTAATCCCAGCTACTCAGGAGGCTGAGACAGGAGAATCGCTTGAACCCTGGAGGCGGAGGTTGCAGTGAGCCAAGATTGCGCCACTGCACTCCAGCCTGGGTGACAGAGTGAGACTCTGTCTCCAAAAAAAAAAAAAAAGATACAAATAATACAGTATAACAAGGATTTATATAACATTTTACATTGTATTAGATGATCATAAGTAATCTAGAGCCAGATGATTTAAAGTATAAAGGAGAATGTGCATAGGTTATATGCAAATACTGTGCCATTTTATATAAGAGATGAGCATCTGTGGATTTTGGTATCCATGAAGTTCCTGGAACCAATACCCCCTAGACCCCCATGGATACTGAGGGCTTGCTATAACAGTTTTTAATAAAAATAAAAAACAGGCCAGGTGTAGTGGCTCACACCTGTAATCCCAGCACTTTGGGAGGCCAAGGTGAGGTGATTGTTTGAGCCCAGGAATTCAAGACCAGCCTGGGCAACATGGCGAAACCCTGTCTCTGCTAAAAATAGAAAACAATAGCCAGACATGGTAGTGTGCACATGTGGTCCCAGCTACCTGGGAAGTTGAGATGAGAGGATCACCTAAGCCCAGGAGGGCGAGGCTGTAGTGAGCCGTGATTGCGCCAGTGCACTTCAGCCAGGGCCAGAGTGAGACCTTGTCTCAAAAAAATAAAATAAAATAAAAGTAAATTGTAAAAAACTCTTTAGTTTTTCATTTCTATTATGTTAAATGTTAATAGCTATAACACATATAAACTAAACAGGTCATGAGACCAAAATGCTGAAGAATGGTGTTAATGGTGTTCTTACTTACTTTGAATTACCGTTTTTATTTTTCTATGCTAGCTAATTACTATGTGAATAATTAACCTCAATGAAGTTCTGTATTCTCTGTTGTAGCAGTGGCTGATTTAGGGCTCAGTTGTCTTTTGACCTGTTCTTCCTTCTCATATGATTGCATCTCGATTTTTAATTTTAGACTTAGTTTTTAATTCTAAAATTAAAAATCTTTTTTTTTTTTTCTTCTATGCCCACTGCTGTCAACCCAGTCAGGGCCCTTATCACTTTATTCTTGAATTACTTCAGTTCTCCATTTTTTTTCTCATGTGGTGTTTTTCAAACTTGAGTGTTGATTGGAATCCCAGGGTTAATTCAACTTTAATTTTATGAATATGATTTCATATAAGTTCCTTATGATAAAACCAGAGCAGATTTACAAATTAAATATAGACCATCAAATTAGCTGTACATATTTAAGGATGAGATTTTGTTAAAACCAAATAGTCAATGTTAGAGCTTATAGAATGGCATAGCCTCAGGATCAGCTTTATAATCAGTTTTTTTAAATTTGGCTTGATAATACTAACAGAGAATGGCTATTTGCATAAATATGTTTTATAAAATGGTGTTAACTTTTAGTCTTTGTTCAGGATAATGAGACCTACTAGTTAACCAGAACGGGGCCAGCAAGCAACTCTTGAATGCTAGTTTTAATGCCTGATCAAAATTCTGTAAAGCTGTGTTGATCACTGAGGCGTTGCGGATATACTGAGCCTGCATTAAGTGGATATTTAATCTAATTATTTCTGGAATCTTTACCAGAAAACATGCTCTTACATAGTTTGCTCCTGGGTTTGCTGTTGGTGAACTGCCGTTGGTTGGTGGGATCTCTGTGTCCCATGGGCTTTGCCACACAGCTGGGGCTCTGAGTACTTCAGCTCACATTCCTTTGTTTGCCACCCTTGCCTTAACTCACTTACCTGTATTGTTTTTTCTCCCATAGCACTCAACATCATCTTACATGTAAACATTTTACTTTGTTGTTGTTGTTGTTGTTGTTGTTGTTGTTTTTGAGACAGAGTCTTGCTCTGTTGCCCAGGCTGGTGCAGTGGCACATCTTGGCTCACTGAAATCCCTGCTTCCTGGGCTCAAGTGATTCTCATGCCTCAGCCTCCTTAGTAGCCGGGACTACAGGTGTGTGCCACCACTCCTGGCTAATTTTTGTATTTTTAGTAGAGACGGGGTTTCACCGTCTTGGCCAGGCTGGTCTTGAACTCCTGGCCTCAGGTCATCCACCTGCTTCAGCCTCCCAAAGTGCTGGGATCACAGGCATGAGCTACTGCACCTGACACTTTGTTTTTAACTGTTTCTGTCCAACTAGATTTTAAGCTGTATAAGGGCACAGATTTTTAATTGTTAATTGCTAAGTCTTCAGTTTCTATTGTAGTCTCTGGCTTGTATTAGATGCTCAATAAATATTTGTTGACTTAATGAATGCATATTAACCCTTCTTTTCTTTATTCAACTGCAAACTCAAATACTCTTTTCTGAGTTGTGTGCTCTCACTGTGGGTAAAGACCAGTTTTTCTCTTCATTTTAAACACAACTAAACTGGCCCTGAATTGTATAGAATCCTTTTGATTTGTTGTTTGATCAGTACAAGTTCAGTCAGTGGCACAGTTACTTCCCTTGATTCAGATTCTGTAGAAGCCTAAAAGTGCATTATCTCTTCAAGTAGACATGTCATCATATAGGCTGCTATGGAGATCTTTTTTTTTCCTTTTAAATTGTTTGTGTAACAGTTTCTGTTTTAAAACAGTGGAATTACCAGCCTGGACACTATAGTGAGACACTTTCTCTACAAAAAATAAATTAAAAAAAATTAGCTGGGTGTGGTGGAGTACACCTGTAGTCCCCAGCTACTCGAGAGGCTGAGGCAGAAAGATTGCCTGAGCCCAGGAATTTGAGGCTTCAGTGAGTTGGGATTGCATCACTGCACTCCAGCCTGGACGACAGAGTGAGACCTTGTCCCTTCCAAAAAAATTGAAAAAGTAGAATTATATTTGGGAGTTTTTTTCCTCAAATTCCTTTGAAGTTAAGATTTATAAAAGTATGGGAGGCCAAGCTGGGATTATCATTTGGGCCCAGATGTTCCAGGCTGCAGTGAGCTACGGTCGGGCCACGGAACTCCAGCCTGGGGAACAGAGTGAGCCCTGCCTCAAAATAATAATAAAAATAATAATAATAGTACAAGCTCTCTTAATTACTACCTGTTTTTTTTTTGAGACAGAGTCTTGCTCTGTCACCCAGGCTGGAGTGCAGTGGCGCTATCTAGGCTCATTGCAAGCTCTGCCTCCCGGGTTCACGCCATTCTCCTGCCTCAGCCTCCCGAGTAGCTGGGACTACAGGTGCCCGCCACCACGCCTGGCTAATTTTTTGTATTTTTAGTAGAGATGGGGTTTCACCTTGTTAGCAAGAATGGTCTCGATCTCCTGACCTCGTGATCTGCCTGCCTTGGCCTCCCAAAGTGCTGGGATTATAGGCGTGAGCCACTGCGCCTGGCCACTACCTGTTTTTTTTTTTAATCCTATGTTTTTAAATAATTCTAATCATCTATTCATATTTTTTGTTTCTCCTATTTAACATTTTATGTAACATTTTTAGATTTTAAAATTTGTTTCTGTTATCACTTCTAAAAGTGAATGTTATTTTTAAAAATGAATGCCTTTACATTGGGTTGTTATGTAACCTAATTTGCTTTAACAAATAACTTTATTTTGGAGTAATTTTATTTTTAATTATTTATTTATTTATTTATTTATTTGGGACGGAGTCTCGCTCTGTCGCCCAGGCTGGAATGCAGAGGTGCGATCTCTGCTCACTGCAGCCTCCACCTCCTGGGTTCAAGCAATTCTCCTGCCTTAGCCTCCCAAGTAGCTGGGATTACAGGTGCTCGCCATCATGCCCAGCTAATTTTTGTATTTTTAGTAGAGACTGGGTTTCACCATATTGGCCAGGCTGCTCTTGAACTCCTGACTTACGTGATCCGCCTGCCTCAGCCTCCCAAAGTGCTGGGATTAACAAGCATGAGCCACTGCACCTGGCCTATTTTGGAATACTTTTGGATTTATATAGCCATGGTATATTTGTTAAAACTAAGAAATCAGTATCAGTATGTTGTCATTAACTAAACTCAAGACTTTATTTGGATTTTGCCAGTTATTCCACTAATGTCTTTCTTTGGTTGGTTGGTTGGTTGGTTTCAGGATCCAATCCAAGATACCACAGTTCATTTAGTTATCATGTCTCCTAAGTTTTTCTGATCTGTGGTTGTTCTCAGCATTTCCTTATTTTTCATGACCTCTTAATCGTTTTAAAGTGTATTGGTCAGATGTTTTGTAAGAATGTCCTTTGATTTCGGCTTATCGGATGTTTTCTTATGATTAGGCTGAAGTTATGGGTTGAGGTCTGGGGGAAGGATACCACAGAGGTGAAATCCCCATCTCATTTCATCACATCGGGGAGTACATAATGACAGCAGTACTTACCATTGCTCATGTTAATGGTTATGGTTTTTTTTCACAGAAACATTACTGTTTCCCTTTCCAGACTCTTCTTTGGAAGTGAATCATTGAATCTAGCTCACGCTCAGGGGGAAGGAAATTGAATTCTCCCTCCCAGAATGGGGACATACACTCATGTATCAGTTGGAATTCTTGTCAGGAGAGTTGTTCCTTCTCCTCCAGTTGTTTATTTAATCACTTATTTATATCATAGACTCATGAATAATTATTTTATTCTGTTATAATACTGTTATGATTTACTCTGCTGCTCAAATTATTCCAGCTTTGGCCACTGAGAGTTTCTTCTGTTTGCTTCCAGTCTCGGACCTATCCGTCTCCTTTCATCTTTGGAGCATTTCCCTTCTTCTACTGGCTTGCCTTGTAGTTTCCCTGTCCCAACCCTAGAATCAGCTGTTTCTGCAGACCCTGCTTCCTTGTATTTATTGGAAGGTGGTATTTAGAAACAAAAGTCTTGGGTGCAGGGTATGCTTATTTTATTGCTCCTGGGGTGTCACTGCTTCCAGGCCCTCTGTTGGACAGACCCTGGAAATGCAGGTATTTCAGCTAACCTGCATGTGCATACATACCTACGTTTCTGTATCTATCCGCATATATTTTAAAATACACGTGAGTTCATATTGATATATCTGACTAATTCATCACCACCTCTTGCTTATTTGTAACTTCTTTCTGTGACATTGAGAAACTTGGCACACATTATCTACATTTTATTTACTTATTTGTTTAACCCTAGTGTACATGTAGAGTATTTTCAGAATTACAGACTGGTACCCTTATGAGAAACAAATTTACCAGCTAGAGTACAGAGTAGATTGTCCAAAGTTCTGTAGATTAGCTCCCCCCGACCTCCTGCTCCTTCCATGAGATTATCTCATAAAATTATAATACTGTTAGACTTGCTGTATAGTTTGCATTCTATCCTGAGATCCCCTGACATCCTGTTTTGTTTTTATTTGCATACAGTTTACCATTTAAAAAAAGTCTTTATATTGAGTTGTTAACTTTTTAATATAAATGTTGTAATTCCTGATATTACTCATCTGCCATTTATGTAGTTGATAGTCACTACTTTTTTTTTTTTTTTTTTTTTTTTGAGATGGAGTCTTGCTCTGTCGCCTAGGCTGGAGTGCAGTGACGTGTTCTCAGCTCACTGCAACCTCCGCCTCCTAGGTTCAAGCGATTCTCCTGCCTCAGCCTCCTGAGTAGCTGGGATTACAGGCGTGCATCACCACGCCCGGATAATTTTTGTATTTTTAGTAGAGACGGGGTTTCACCATGTTGGGCAGGCTGGTCTTGAACTCTTGACCTCATGATCCACCTGCCTCGGTCTCCCAAAGTGCTGGGATTACAGGCGGGAGCCACAGCGCCCACCTGATAGCCACTACTTTTTTAATGCTGATATAGTGCTTACCATCTGTCAGGCACTGTCTATGCACCGTAAATAAATTTACTTCTCACAATGACTCTGAGGTGGAGGCTCTTGAATTAGCCTTTTTTCATGAGGAGAGTGAGGCACAAAGATGTGCAGTAACTTGGCCAACTTCACACCCAGCTGCTAAGTGGGAGAACTTGGATCTGAACCCAGGGAATGAGCTTTGGAGTCCAAACTCTTGCTTTTTGTTTAATGCTGTGTATAGGACTTAGAATTAATACAACTAACTCTTCTCTTATTAGTTTAGTTTATTACTTGGAATTTGGTGTGAAATAGAGAGTGCTGCTACCCCAATTCTTTGCCCCATGTGTGTAACAGGCATTATTAATCATGACAGCACTCTCTCTGCTGAGCTAGAACATGGCCTGGCCTAAGGCCAATAATCCTTATGGACACAACCCTCAAAGTGGTTGTATGAGATGAACTCTCCTTGCCATCTCTGATCTTGTCTGTTTTGAATCCTGATTCTAGTGCCCAGTGCATGGCACTGCGTGCCTGCTTCTCCTGGATTCCTCTCTCATGGTCTTCCTTTTTACAGGGACAGGTTTTCTATATTCCCCCTCAGGCATAGGATCTGTTTCTCTTAAGTAATTAATTTTTATCACTTACCAATAATTTAACATCTATATGTCTAAGTTCTCTTTATATTGTTTTTCTTATCCTTACCTACAAAATCTCATTTACCATTGATTTAAATTTCAGTATATTGAAACAATGGATTGTAACATTAAAAATAAATGAAATTGCCAAATGATACTAACAGCTGCCTTCAAAGCATTTAAACATACAAACAGGCACTATTGAAGACTGGAGAGTTATCAAAATTGGCAATTTTTTGGCAGTCTTGCTGTGAAGTAAACATTTTTAAAAGGAAGGACATTGAGAATATTGTAATCATATTACTTACATCTTGTTGGGTTTGGATTTGACCTTACATAGCCTGGTATTCAGTTAAGAGTCAAAGTTGCTGCTATTAATTTAGTTGAGAAGGATAAATAGTACATGTAGTTTATTGTTTTCTTTAGAGAAATAGAAACAGAAACATTTATTTGGCCAGACCAAATAGGTGGTCATTCCCTTGATTTAGCAAATCCTTGAGGTAGAATTTTTTTTTTTTTTTTTTGAGACGGAGTCTCACTGTGTCGCCCAGGCTGGAATGCAGTGGCACGATCTCGGCTCACTGCAAGCTCTGCCTCCCGGGTTCACGCCATTCTCCTGCCTCAGCATCCCGAGTAGCTGGGACTACAGGTGCCCGCCACCACGCCTGGCTAATTTTTTGTATTTTTAGTAGAGACGGGGTTTCACTGTGTTAGTCTCGATCTCCTGACCTCATGATCTGCCCATCTTGGCCTCCCAAAGTGCTGGGATTATTGGCGTGAGCCACCGCGCCTCCCGGTAGAATTTTTAAAGAAGCAATAAGGGCTCTGACAATACCTATGGGACTTTTTTCAAATTATTCAGTTATTGGCAGCTGGGTAAAGAGGGACAGGAATGTCTGATTTAGGTAAATACCTCTCACAAGTGGAGTAGGGGCGTATCTGGTAGAGAACAGTGCTGATTCCTTGGACTTGTGTGGCCTGGCCACCTGAGAGGTAGGTAGGAAGGTGTGTCTTGGCCATGTCCTGGGGCCTCTGTAAACCTGAGAGGATGGAGGAAGCTCTACTTTTTCTGACGATGCTGTTGGTGATAATGAAGTAGGCTATGAGAGCCCATCTTCCATTAATTCAGATGTTCCTATACAGTTGGCCCTCTGTAAATGGGATTCTACATTTGTAGATTCAGCCAACTGTGGGTAAAAATACTTGAAAAGAAACAAAAGTGTGTGTACTGAACATGTACATACTTTTTTCTTGCCATTATTCCCTAAACATAATAGTTTAACAACTATTTATGTAATATTTACATTGTATTAGGTATTTAGTAATCTAGAGATGGTTTTAAAGCAGGGGTCCCTAGTCCCCAGGCCGTGGACTGGTACCCGTCTGTGGCCCGTTAGGAACTGGGCTGTACAGCAGGAGGTGAGCTCCGCCTCCTGTCAGATTGGCAGCAGCATTAGATTCTCACGGAAGCGTGAACCCTATTGTAAGCTGCACACGTGAGGGATCTAGGTTGCACACTCCTTAAAAGAATCTTTTTTTTTTGGAGACGGAGTCTCGTCTCACTGTGTTGCCTAGGCTGGAGTGCAGTGGCATGATCCTGGCTCACCTCAACCTCTGCCTCCCAGGTTCAAGTGATTCTCCTGCCTCAGCTTCCTGAGTAGCTGGGATTACAGGCACCTGCCTCCACACCCAGCTAATTTTTGTATTTTTAGTAGAAACAGGGTTTTACCATGTTGGCCAGACTGGTCTCGAATTCCTGACCTCAAGTGATCTGCCTGCCTTGGCCTCCCAAAGTGCTGGGATATGAGCCACCATGCCTGGCCATCCTTATGAGAATCTAACTAATGCCTGATGATCTGAGGTGGAACAGTTTCATCCTGAAACCATGTACCCTCTCCCCTCTTTGTGGAAAAACTGTCTTCCACAAAACCAGTCCCTGGTGCAAAAAAGTTGGAGACTGCTGGTTTAAAGTATATGGGAGAATGTGTATACGTTATGTAATAGTGTACCATTTTATATCAGGGACTTGAGTCTTCGTGGATTTTGGTATCTGTTGGGGGTCCTGGAACTAATCCTCCGTGGATATGGAGGAACAACTGTATATATGGTCTCAGTAATAAATACGTATCTGAGATACCCTCTGTATTAAGAAAAAAAAGATGGGAATTTCTTGGCTCATATAACTGAATAGTTCCGAAATTTGGGAAGGTCTGCCTGACTTAGGGCTTAGGTCATGAGACTACAGTTCTTTCTTGGCTTTGACTTTTGTTTTTTGTAGTTGTTGACTCTGTTCTTTGAGGCTCTTCTCCAAGATGGCTTCCAACAAGTCCTTGGGCAAACATTTTTCCAGGTTTAGACCTAAGGGGAGAAGAGTGAGCATTCTTGTCCTAGCATTGCAGGAAACCTGAGATTTTCACTGTGACTGCACTGATTGTGGCCGTGTATCTAACCCTGTACTGGTCACTATGTCTAGGGAGATGTACCTTGGTCAGGCCAGGGTCACAAGCAGCTTGAGTCAGCTTCCTCCAGTGTACTTGGTAGTTCTCAGAGAAGAGTTGGTGTGAAGTTCCCAAGAGAAGGGTGAATTGACCCTGGGTGGCAAAAACAACATAGCATCTACTCTAGTGGGATAAAGTAAGA